>NT_167247.2:2300062-2503464 GCF_000001405.40 Homo sapiens | reverse complement strand
TAGCCCAAATTCAGAGTGCAAGCAGCCTAGGACTCAATGCAAAATTGGTTAAGCCGACTTGCAAATGAAAAATTCCAGGAAGGTCTCCGTGCAATGCAAACTCAGGAACACGTCCTATGGCACCTCACTTGAGCTGGATCCTCAGATCACAAAATATTTGGGGAGCCTCCAATCTGCAAGGCAAGGATACTTTAGGCAGCTCCTGTGTGTGTCGGGGTGGCGGGGCGCGGGGAAGGAGGTCCTGTTATACACACGTCTACGTGCAATACGAACACATCACCTCTGTGTAATTCGGAGAAGAGCAGCTTCTTCCTGTCAAACTTGCTTATCCTAATAGAGCACTCCTGCTTGCCTGCGCCCCGATCTTCTGGCCAATCCCTCACTCATAACTGGTTGAACCTCCGAGGGCAATGAATCCACTGTCATCCCCCAAAAGAAAGTGCAAACGAGTCCTTAAGTACTCCAACAAATTGGACCTAAACCCCTACTTCCCGGCTTCTCTAGGTGGGATAAAAACAGGAAGGAGCTCCCCGCGATCATGCAAGGCATACCCGGCCTTTTCCCACTCCGCCCCAGCCCCGTTTCGGATCTACCCGCGCGGCGCAGTCTCCGAGTAGCCTCCTCTTCAAGCAGTGCCAGCCTGTGCGGCGGATCCCGGGACCCCTTGGGCTCCTCGGCAGGAGCCGACGTTGCTGCATCTGTTTGACAGCCAAGAAGCCGGGGCCAGGAGGGGCGCGGCCTCTGCGCGCGGGCAGCGCCTACCCCTCCTTCGGAATTCCCGGGCCCGAACTTCGCGCCGAGCGAGCCCGCCCCCGTGCCGTTCCCGATTGGCCAGCTCATTTGTTCTCTTCCGCGCCATTGGACAGCGCCCCAAGATCTCCCGCCTTCCACTTTTTCTGATTAGTTCACAAGTTTTCCCGGGTTGCCGCAGTGAGGAGGAGCCGCCTGGGCGCGGAGATGCTCCGACGCATTTAGTGGGCCCAAATTTAGACGCCACTGCGCCTGCGTACACCTTTCCCCCTCCTCCCAACAGAGTGAAATAGGACTTTAGGGCGCCCGCCTTGCGCAGGCGCGGTCAGGGGCAGAGGCGGGGCCGGGAGCGAGGCGTAGGGGGTGTGGCCAAAGCGCAGTAGGGGGCTCTCGCGGTTGGTAAGGGACGTTCGGGAAGAGTCGGTTGGGGGCGGGAAGGGGCTGAGCGGGGGTCCTGGGAGGGTTCAAGGGGTCCAAAGGGGAAGGGGGTACAGGGGCCAGGTGAAGGGACAGATGAAGAGATCAGAACAGCCTTAGAGCTCACGGGCTAACTGGGTGAAGCCTCGGGTATCTAGGGGAGCAGTGGTGGGAGAGTAGAGCCGGCTAGCGTACAGGGGGCGAGGGCAGGCTATTGAGAGATGGGGGTGAGGGTCAGGACCAGAATAATTCCTTCAGAAAAAGGTAGATTAGGTTGTAAAAAGGGACGGGAGTAGGGATCCCAGATTCGGGTAAAAAATAGATTAATGAGGGTGGGAGGGTGGGAGGAAGATCTTCAAGTGCCCACTATGTGTTAGGACTCGAGAAAGAGGAGGCGGGCAGCAGGCATGGAAGCTAAGGGGATAGTAGAGAGAAGCTGAGAGAACAGCCGCAGGAAAGATTTGAATAAGATGTCAGGACGCTGGCTTTTCTGCCTGGGGATCTAGGCGGCCTGGATTCCCAAGGTCTTGGGGAGGGTCTAGCCCTGCATGTGGCCACATTCAGCTGGGGCCAGGCCTTGGGCCAGCACTTTAACAGGGAAGGACCCAAGAGTCATGGCCTGCTGGTGTCTGGATGGGCTTCCCTCAGGCCTTGCTGAGCCATGGAGAGAACTCTGGAGATGGCGCTCAAGACCCCTGCACTGTGTACCTCCTTTCTCACCTCTGGCCAGGAGCAGCAGGGACCATAGAAACTTAAGGAGGAGGGTAAAGGCACTGCCCAGAATCCTGAAAGTATGAGTAAAGCCTCAGAGCCCCTCTCAGTCTGTCTCTTTCAGTAAATTCTCTCCACTTGATAGTTAGTTGCTTGGGTTCCATGAGGAACCAGGTTGAGACAAGCAAGTGAATTTGGGGTATCTCCTACTTTGGGGAAGTAGGAAAAGAGCTAAGCATCGGGTGGACCTGGCTATAATTCAAGGATTATGACTTTGTTATTGTAGGGGCTTTCTCTTTGGAAGGTGGCCTGAAAATTGAATTGGAGTGTCTTTGTTTCTCCTCTTGTCCAGGGGAACATAGATGGCTGAAGACAGAATCTAGAGCCTTCAAATAATGTGGAGATGTTTCCACCTTCAGGTCAGTGGGACCAGACAAGGGGAGTGGTGGTTGTCTCTGCCTGGGAAACTGACCATCTTTGTTTTTGTAATTCTTCAGGTTCCACTGGGCTGATTCCCCCCTCCCACTTTCAAGCTCGGCCCCTTTCAACTCTGCCAAGAATGGCTCCCACCTGGCTCTCAGACATTCCCCTGGTCCAACCCCCAGGCCATCAAGATGTCTCAGAGAGGCGGCTAGACACCCAGAGACCTCAAGTGACCATGTGGGAACGGGATGTTTCCAGTGACAGGCAGGAGCCAGGGCGGAGAGGCAGGTAGGGATCCATCCACGCCGTTTTCTCAGGCTTGCTTGCTAGTGACCCTTCCTCACTGGAATAAACTCCTTACCCTATTTCGGCCCTAGTTTCCAGAACGTACTCATTTTTATGTAAGCAATTAGTTCCTACAGTGCATAAATAATAAAGCAGTGTGCTAAGTGCTAGGGATGAGGATAACAATAGTGAATAAGACAAATCCTGACTTAAATTTGTAATTAATAAGGAATCTAAAATCCTAAGAGGGGAGATAGATTGACCACCAGCTGATGGTAAAGCATGGTATGAGGCAAGATGAAGAAGTGCAAACTAGAGGTAGAGACCCAGCACTGTGGCAGTGTGGGTTCATTCTGATGGAAGAAAGCCTTTACAGAGGACATGCTGTGGGAGCTGGCCATGCTGTCGTATTATCTGTAAACATTCTTATTCTTGTTTCATGTGTCTTTTCCCAGATGTACTGGGATATCATTCTGCCATTTTGCTCCAGAATAGGATTACATTAGAAGAAGCAGCATGATGAAGAAGGAATACTAGACTGGGTGTCAGGAGACAGAGACTCTATTTCTAGTTTGGCTACCAGCTAGAGGACATTTGGCAAGTCACTTAATTTCCCTAGCCTACAGATCGCTGCTACTAAAGAAAGAAAGAAAGAGCGAGCCAGATATGGCGGCTCACACCTATAATCCTAGCACTTTGGGAGCTGAGGCAGGAGGATCACTTGAGCCCAGGAGTTCATGACCAGCGTGGGCAACAAAGCGAGACTCCGTCTCCACAGAAAATAATTAGCTGGCTGTGGTGGCATGCATTTGTAGTCCTAGCTACTCAGGAGGCTAAGGTGGTAGGACCCCTTGAGCTCAGAAGTTGAAGACTGCAGTGACCTATGATCCAGCCACTGCATTGAGGCCTGGGTGACACAGTGATACCCTGTCTCTAAAAACGACAACAACAACAATCTCTTATAGTCCTGGGTCTCAGAGAGCTGCCTCAGGAGCCATGTTCCAAGCTGGATTAAACTTCACGTGACATTGGTAGACGATTTCTCTAAAGGCTGGCACTGTGTTATTTATGTACTGTTCTCTCAGACTCCTCATAAAGTATACCTAACACTCAATAAATGCCTTTTTTTTTTTTTTTTTTTTTTGAGATGGAGTCTCACTCTGTCGCCCAGGCTGGAGTGCACTGGGGAGATCTTGGCTCACTGCAAGCTCCGCCTCCCAGGTTGACGCCATTCTCCTGCCTCAGCCTCCCAAGCAGCTGGGACTACAGGCACCTGCCACCACGCCCAGCTAGTTTTTTATATTTTTAGTAGAGATGGGGTTTCACCGTGTTAACCAGGATGATCTCGATCTCCTGACCTCGTGATCCGCCCGCCTCGGCCTCCCAAAGTGCTGGGATTACAGGCATGAGCCACCGCGCCCAGCCAATAAATGCCTTTTAACTAGCACCTGGCCTCACCATATTGATACTGGAAGCTTACGACCTCTCTATGCCCATTCCTCCCTCAAACTTCTTGCCCTTAAATTAGAATTGAGAAGTCCCTGTGTGTTCTTCCAACCTTTCCACTTAAAATGTGTGGCCTAAAAATAAAAAAATAAATAAGACAAAAAAACCACCAAAAAACAAAAAGAATGTGTGGCCTAATGATATACACATTTGATGTTGAATCCTCCTGTATGTAGCTCTCTCTAGGGAGATCATGTTCCACGATCTCAGCCAGACTTTAGGTCCTGTGAGTCCAGGCACTGGACTCAACATGCTCAATAGGGCTTTGATGAATGATGATGATGTCAATGCAGACATCCCCATACCCCAGCTTCAGCACCCCCTTCACCTCCCCACACGGAAGCAGAGGGGTCCTCTTTTCCTTCTCCTGGCTATGTTTATGCCCTCAACTATCCTTCCAGCACTGGAGACAAGTCTCACCTGCACTAACCTGTCTTTGAAGGTCCTGGGGGCTGGAGGGGTCACAGGCCCTGAGCCAGCAGGCTGAGGTGATCGTTCGGCAGCTGCAAGAGCTGCGGCGGCTGGAGGAGGAGGTCCGGCTCCTGCGGGAGACCTCGCTGCAGCAGAAGATGAGGCTAGAGGCCCAGGCCATGGAGCTAGAGGCTCTGGCACGGGCGGAGAAGGCCGGCCGAGCTGAGGCTGAGGGCCTGCGTGCTGCTTTGGCTGGGGCTGAGGTTGTCCGGAAGAACTTGGAAGAGGGGAGGCAGCGGGAGCTGGAAGAGGTTCAGAGGCTGCACCAAGAGCAGGTGAATGCAGGGGTAGAAAGGATTCAAATTCATAACGGAGAGCTGGGCAGTAGCTTCCAAGCAAAGAACAGGTATTGCAGAAAAGACCCTCCATGAGTAGTGAGTAGTAGAGTGATGAGACCTTTGGTGAAAATAAACACACATGGGCTAGAAAGATGGAGAATTTGGGTACTTTTATCTTAATTCAGGTTGCACTTTTCCCCCAAGACTCAGGTGGCCTCCCACCACTTGAAGCCCTGCTTCCCTTTCTAGTAGGAAATAGTTTGCCTCCCTACTTTACTCCAGGTACCAATTCATCAGGGGTATTGTGGAGGGCAGTGAGGAAGGTGGGTATAAGGGGGCTATGGTGGACTGGGAGAGAGAGATTATTCAGTCCTCAAACTCAGTACTTACTCTGCCATCTCTAAGACTCAGTGACCAAATTAGCCTGAGTCCTGCCTTCGTGGATGGAACTGACAGCCTCGTGGGGGATATACACATCCACATTTAATTTAATCATAATTAATTGCAATCAGGAGGAATGCCTTGAAGGAGAAGGACTAGAAAGCACTAACTTAGTCTGGGGTTCAGGGAAGGCCACTGTAACCAGTTGACATGTCAAGGAAAGAAACCATAGCCCTGGGCGCAGTGGCTCACGCCTGTAATCCCAGCATTTTGGGAGGCCGAAGCAGGCAGATCACAAGGTCAGGAGTTCAAGACCAGCCTGGCCAACATGGCGAAACCCTGTCTCTACTAAAAATAAAAAAATTCACCAGGCATGGTGGTGCGCACCTGTAATCCCAGCTACTTGGGAGGCCGAGGCAGGAGAATCACTTGAACCTGGGCAGTGGAGGTTGCAGTGAGCCGAGACTGTGCCATTGCACTCCAGCCTGGGCGACAGAGCAAGACTCTGTCTCAAAAAATAAAATAAAAAAGGAACTGGGAGAAAACAAGGGAGAATTCCTTTATAACCTTGTAGTGGGCAAGGCCTTTCTACCTGTGAGTCAAAATCCAAAATCTAGAAGCCATAAAGGAAAAAATTGATCCATTGACTTTATAACATGAACATTAGGAATAGCCAAAAAGAAAAAAAAAAGCTATATTTATAGCTCAGATCACAAGAAAAGGGTAATATCCCTAATATAAAATGTGTGCCTAGAAATTGGTAAGGGAAAGACCAGCAATCCAATCAGAAAATGGACAAAGGAGATTTATGAAAGAAACTTAGAAACAAGAAGCTAGGCCAGGCACAGTGGCTCATGCCTGTAATCCCAGCACTTTGGGAGGCCGAGGTGGGCGGATCACTTGAGGCCAGGAGTTAAAGACCAACCTGGCCAACATGAAGAACTCTACAAAAAAATACAAAAATTAGCCGGGTATAGTCGTGGGCGCCTGTAATCCCCCAGCTTCTTGGGAGGCTGAGGCAGGAGAATTGCTTGAACCTGGGAGACAGAGGTTACAGTGAGCTGACATCACACTCCAGCCTGGGCAGCAGAGCGAGACTAAAAAAACAACAAGCTACCGTTTGTGCTGAATAGGAGTTGGCCAGTGAAGAGGCGTGTGAAGTCCAGTGGTAGCTGGAAGACACTTGGTGGGACAACAGGTGAAGGCGGGGACAGGAGGCCAGAAGGCTGGGGCACAGAGATGAGGGGCACTGAGTGTGCTGCAGAGCCCAGGACCCAGGGCACAAGGCTTTGGCCACTTCAGAACTTGCTACTTTCCCATAAGAGCAATGAGCAGGCTGGGCACAGTGGCTCATACCTGTAATCCTAGCACTTTGGGAGGCCAAGGTGGAAGGATCATTTGAGCCCAGGAGTTTGAGACCAGCCTGGGCAACAAAGCGAGACCCCCATCTCTATTTTATGGAAGAAATTAGGGCTGGGCATGGTTGCTCACATGTGTAATCCTAGCACTTTGGGAAGCTGAGGCGGGTGGATCACTTGAGGTCAGGAGTTCGAGACCAGCCTGGCCAACATGGTAAAACCTCATCTCTACTAAAAATACAAAAATTAGCTGGGCGTGGTGGCTCATGCCTGTAATCTCAGCTACTCGGGAGGGTGAGGCGGGAGGGTGAGGCAGGAGAATCGCTTGAACCTGGGAGGCAGCGTTTGCAGTGAGCTGAGATCGTGCCATTGCACTCCAGTCTAGGCAACAAAGTGAAACTCCATCTCCAAAAAAACAAACAAAAAAAAATTGTTTTTTCAAGTAATAAGCAACCGTTGAAAGGTTGTTTTTTTTTTTTTTTGAGATGGAGTCTCGCTCTGTCGCCCAGGCTGGAGTGCAGTGGCGCGATCTTGGCTCACTGCAAGCTCCGCCTCCCGGGTTCATGTCATTCTTCCGAGTAGCTGGGACTACAGGCGCCCGCCACCACGCCCAGCTAATTTTTTGTATTTTAATAGAGACGGGGTTTCACCGTGTTAGCCAGGATGATCTCAATCTCCTGACCTTGTGATCCACCCACCTCGGCCTCCCAAAGTGCTGGAATTACAGGAATGAGCCACTGCGCCCGGCCTGTTGAAAGGTTTTAAGCAGGGAAATAACATGATTAGATTTGTATTTTATGTCTAAAAAATTTTGTCATTTATGTCCCCCAAATTAATTTTATTGTTGTATGGAGACAGGGCTAGAGGAGGCAGACCAGGAAGCAGGGTGGGCACTTTGCCCTCCTTTCCAGTCCATCCCATGACTCTTGGTGGCTCTGACACCCCTGCAACACTTTGAGGTGCCATGAGCAAAAGACACAAAATTCCTCCTTTCCTGGAGCTTTCCTTCCAGTGTGGTCCGACAGATAGTAACACATACACATAAGCAAGATATGGTCAGTGCTAAGTGCTCAGGAGGACGTGAACAGCTGATGGGGCAGAGTAGGGTGGGGAGGGACAGTATTAGAGGGCCCAGTGAAGCCACCCTGAGGAGGGGCTATCGCCTGGGGTCTGTGGAGCAAGGAGGGGCCGCTGTCTGGTTCTCAGCAGACTCCCCGTGGCCGGAGCGGGGAGCAGTGGGAGAGCCTCCAGGGTGAGCTCAGGAGGTAGGCAGAGGCCGGGTCCCCTGGCCTGCAGGTGTGGAGAGACACCTGGGTTTTGTTGTGAATGCTGTGAGAAGCCACTGAGGGTTTGTAAAGACTAGTTAGGAGATGGTCGCTGTTGCCCAGGCAAAAGATGAGGGTTGGTGGCAGTGGAGACGGAGACAGAGAGGTGAAGATATGTTTTGGGGGAGATCGGACAAGAACTCCTGATGGGTTGTGGGGCAGCTGCGGAGAGTGAGTTGCCAGCTCTCCATTTGCTGTGCACAGTTGGCTGATTGGTTGGGTCATTCTCTAAGGTCACAGAAAGTGGGAGTGAAGGGAACAAGGAAGGCCTCCATGTGGGGTCGAGCCTCTGCTGAGCCCCCTCTTCTTTCCGCAGCTGTCCTCTTTGACACAGGCTCACGAGGAGGCTCTTTCCAGTTTGACCAGCAAGGCTGAGGGCTTGGAGAAGTCTCTGAGTAGTCTGGAAACCAGAAGAGCAGGGGAAGCCAAGGAGCTGGCCGAGGCTCAGAGGGAGGCCGAGCTGCTTCGGAAGCAGCTGAGGTAGGTGGGCGGACGCCGACGGGAGCCCAGCAATTAGTGATGTGGTGGATCTGCAGGGCGCCCCACTGATGGCTGTCCCATTCCCACCCCAACCCTAGCAAGACCCAGGAAGACTTGGAGGCTCAGGTGACCCTGGTTGAGAATCTAAGAAAATATGTTGGGGAACAAGTCCCTTCTGAGGTCCACAGCCAGACATGGGAACTGGAGCGACAGAAGCTTCTGGACACCATGCAGGTGAGGGTGCAGGAATGTATCTGTGTGCAGACTTAGGGATCAGGTTGGGAGGCAAGCGTGGCCCTTGGAGGAGCGTGTAGAGCACAGCCTCCGGGAGAGAAGGTGGTACCTAAGGCGGCATGGAGGCCCTACAGAGGGGCTGCTTTCCTCTGCCCGCAGCACTTGCAGGAGGACCGGGACAGCCTGCATGCCACCGCGGAGCTGCTGCAGGTGCGGGTGCAGAGCCTCACACACATCCTCGCCCTGCAGGAGGAGGAGCTGACCAGGAAGGTACAGCCCAACCCCCAGACCCCTCACCCTCAGCCGCATCCTGCATCTACTGTCCCCTGCCTCCCTCCCTGTGGGCAGGAGGGGTCAATGTGCCCCAGAACCTGCTTAGATCTCCTTCCTGTGAACTCCTCTTGCTGTAGCTCATGTTGCCCAGGCAGGACAGAGGAGAAACAAAGATGCCACCTCCTTCCTCTCCTCCCCCAGGAGCCCACACTTTTCTCCCACTCCTTCTCCCTCAGGTTCAACCTTCAGATTCCCTGGAGCCTGAGTTTACCAGGAAGTGCCAGTCCCTGCTGAACCGCTGGCGGGAGAAGGTGTTTGCCCTCATGGTGCAGCTAAAGGCCCAGGAGCTGGAACACAGTGACTCTGTTAAGCAGCTGAAGGGACAGGTCACTGCACTCTCTTTTCTCCCGGTATTCCCTCCCAGCACCTTGCTCCTTCCATGAAGGTGGCATCCATTCAACCAGTGTTTATTGAGTGGTTGCCACATGCTGGGCACACAGCCCTGAACAAAACTAAAATGTGGAGCTTGCATTCTAGAACAGAGACACAGAACACGCAAGTAAACAGATAATGTTGGGTAATTATATGTGCGATAGAAAGATTGAAGCCGGGTGCAGTGGCTCACACCTATAATGCGATCACTTTGGTCTCCAACTCCTGACCTCAGGTGATTCACCTGCCTCAGCCTCCCAAAGTGATGGGATTACAGGTGTGAGCCACCGTGCCCAGTCAAGTAATGCCAACAGTTTGGGAGACCGAGGCAGGTGGATCACTGGAGGTCAGGAGTTCGAGACCAGCCTGGGCAACATGTGAAATCCCGTCTCTACTAAAAATACAAAAAATTAGCCGGGCATAGTGGCTCATTCCTGTAGTCCCAGCTACTCTGGAGGATGAGGTGGGAGGATCACCTGAGGCTGGGAGGTCGAGGCGAGGCCACAGTGAACTGTGATCCCATCACTGCACTCTAGCCTGGGTGACAAAGCGAGATCTTTTCTCAAAAAAAAAGAAAGTAGTAAGAAAAATTCAAAAGATAATGTGACGGAGAGACTGTGGGGTGAGTCAGCCTCAGGTAGGATGCTCAGAGACAGCCTCTCTGAGGAGGTGACAGCATCTGAGGAGAGTGGCATGGTCAGTTGGTGGGTCTTGTGGGGTGTGTCAAGGGCTATTCCCATCTTCGAGTGGGCACATGGAATGTGGAACATGGAACACTGGGCTCAGATTCCATCCTCAGAACCTAAGCTTCTGTCTCCCTGCGTGGCATTCATTCTTTTTCTTTTCTTTTCTTTTTTTTTTTTTTTTTGAGAAGGAGTCTTGTTCTTGTCACCCAGGCTGGAGTGCAGTGGCCTGATCTCAGCTCACTGCAACCTCCGCCTCCCAGGTTCAAGTGATTCTCCTGCCTCAGCCTCCCGAGTAGCTGGGATTACAGGCACATGCCATCACGCTCAGCTAATTTTTGTATTTTTAGTAGAGACAGGCTTTCACCATGTTGGCCAGGCTGATCTTGAACCCCTGACCTCAAGTGATCCATCTGCCTCGGCCTCCCAAAGTGCTGGGATTACAGGTGTGAGCCACCGTGCTGCGACCCACCCCCGTCGCCCGCCCTCCCTCCCCCCAGCCCCTGCATGGCATTCTTACAGAGATCTCTGCACCTGCCACTTTGCTTCCAGTGCCCCCCTCATCTTTTAGCTCTAGAGGGCCCTGCCCAGCTCTCTCTCCTCCCCCAGGTGGCCTCACTCCAGGAAAAAGTGACATCCCAGAGCCAGGAGCAGGCCATCCTGCAGCGATCCCTGCAGGACAAAGCCGCAGAGGTGGAGGTGGAGCGTATGGGTGCCAAGGTTGGTGTCAGCCTACTAGAGACTCGGGGAGGGCAAGGGAGCCCCTGTTCCGGGGCTGCAGCCAGGACTTAGGGAGGGACCCTGTCCTTTGCTGCATCCTCCCCAGGGCCTGCAGTTGGAGCTGAGCCGTGCTCAGGAGGCCAGGCGTCGGTGGCAGCAGCAGACAGCCTCAGCCGAGGAGCAGCTGAGGCTTGTGGTCAATGCTGTCAGCAGGTATCAGGGATGGAGGGGTGGGTGGAGTAGTGTTTCTGCCACCTCAGGTTCCTGGGCACCTTGTTGCTGAGGATCCTCAGGCAAGAGGGGCTGGAAAGTGGCCACTGGAGGCTACAGGGCTGGGCAGATTTAGCTCTATCAATGTTCCTGTGTTCGTTTCTTTTCCTGGGGAAGCCCCTTCTGCATTCATACCTGATTGCTTGTTATGAATTTCCCGTTGCATGTTTGGCTGGAGGTGAGGCCTTGCTTCCTCCTGCAGTTCAGTCTAGTAATGGCTTGAGCTAAATAGAGCACCCGGGAGGATCTTCACTTGCAGTATTGTTCAAGGATGGAGAGTGTAGACACTTCATCTTCCTTTTTTTTTCTAAAATTTTACGGGCAATCCGTTTCACTGGAGAAAAATTTAGTCTATTTATTTATTTATTTTGAGACAAAGTCTCGCTCTGTCACCCAGGCTGGAGTGCAATGGCACAATCTTGGCTCACTGCAACCTCACCTCCCTGGTTCAAGTGATTCTCCTGCCTCAGCCTCCCGAGTAGCTGGATTACAGGCATCCTCCACCAGTGTCCTCCACTACGCCCGGCTAATTTTTGCATTTTTAGTAGGGACGGGGTTTCACCATGTTGGCCAGGCTGGTCTTGAACTCCTGACCTCAGGTGATCCACCCACCTCAGCCTCCCAAAGTGCTGGAATTATAGGTGTGAGCCACTGCACCTGGCCTAGTCTATTTATTTAAAGCTGTATACTTACTTGCTTATTATATACTTAACTTGCTTACTATTCCATCTAAAATGTAAGCCAGTTAGTTTCCTTCTAAATCAATTGCCAGCCTTTGTCTCTCCTACCAACTTCCTAGTTGTTTCATTACCTACAATTGTTGTATGACCTTCAGAAAAACCTCTAAGAAAACAGCAAAGCTTCTTTGTGCTGGTGATGACTTCCCCTCAGCCTTAGACACTGAGGTACCCAAGGCAAGTAGTTCTTTTTTTTTTTTTTTGAGACAGAGTCTCGCACTGTCACCCAGGCTGGAGTGCAATGGCACGATCTCAGCTCACTGCAACCTCTGCCTCCCGGGTTCACACGATTTTCCTGCCTCAGCCTCCTGAGTAGCTGGGATTACAGGTGCACACCACCACACCCGGCTACTTTTTTGTATTTTTAGTAGAGACAGGGTTTCACTGTGTTGGCCAGGCTGGTCTCAAACTTCTGACCTCGTGATCCGCCCGCCTCGGCCTCCCAAAGTGCTGGGATTACAGGCTTGAGCCACCGTGCCCGGCCGGCAGGTAGTTCTTAGCACAGTCTCTGGCTTGTAAATGTTTATTGTTATCGTGAGGCTCTTCTTGATGGGTTAATTTAGATAAAGATAATTTTTGGTTTAGCGAAATTAAGATGCAGGATGAGTCCTTGCCCACCACTTCCTTCTCTTGGGTTTGTACCTTAGGGACTAATTTAGCTTTAAAAATTATGAAAAATTTCAAACTTGCACGGAATTAAACTAGTTATAATGACCTACCACCCAGGTTCAATCCATCGCGGGTGCCCCCTACCTCCAGGAGAACAGAAAGATGCACTGTGGACAGGGTTTGACTTTGGTACCAGGTGATCACAGAAATGGTCTGTGTAATGATGCATTTGCCGAAAGTCCTCCAGGCTTAAAGCAGTCCAAACTCTGATTGTTGCTGGGTTTATTAGATTGTCTCTAGGTAATTGGAGACTTTAATAAGAGCTGTGGTAGGTGTTGGAAGCATCTACTGGAACAATTTCCAGATCAAAGTGAACTTTGCTGTGCTGCTGGGGATGCAGCTGCAAGCCTTCATCATCATGTGTTTTTCTGTGGGTGCAGACCTGGACTCTCCTGAGGAAACCCCAGCCCGGCCCCAGACACTCCTTGGCCTCCTCCTGGGGCCTGTTTAAGCTGCTCAGTTTTCATGAGCCAGGTTGGTCCTACTTCTGGCACAGCCAGCTGGTAAAGCATGTGGACCTGCCCGTCATTGGTGCTAGATCGACACTCCTGGGCTTGGAGAGGATAACTTTGTTTTCTTTTGTTTTTTTGAGATGGAGTCTCGCTCTGTCACCCAGTCTTGAGGGCAGGGGTGCGATCTTGGCTCACTGGAACCTCCACCTCCTAGGTTCAAGTGATTCTCGTGCCTCAGCCTCTGGAGTAGCTGGGATTACAGGCATGAGCCACCATGCCCGGCTAATTTTTGTGTTTTTAAGTAGAGAGAGTTTCACCATGTTGGCCAGGCTAGTCTCCAATTCCTGACTTCAGGTGATCCGCCCGCCTCGGCCTCCCAAAGTGCTGGGATTACAGGCAGGAGCCACTGCCCCTGACCAGAGAGGATAACTTTACTCTTTGATACACGATAGTGAGCAAAACACAGTTGTGAGAAATAAGCTTAACAGGTTGCTTAAAAAGATAGTCATTTAATGCATTCTTGGGGCAAGGGTCCTTTAGATAATTGACGGAAGCTGTGCGTTCTGTACTTGTATAATGGGACAGGATTAGAGGGAGTTGTCTATACAAGGCACAGCAAGTCCTTTGGGAATGAGGGGAGGCATGGAGGATCAGTGACTTGTGCCCTCTCCAGCTCTCAGATCTGGCTCGAGACCACCATGGCTAAGGTGGAAGGGGCTGCCGCCCAGCTTCCCAGCCTCAACAACCGACTCAGCTATGCTGTCCGCAAGGTCCACACCATTCGGGGTGCGTAGGACAACTGCGAGCCACGTCCTGCCCCCACCCCACCAGCTCGGACTTTCTTCTTCCTGACCCAGCTCTCTCTGATCCCACATCCATTCACCTTCCTCCTTTCACCAGTCCTTGCATCTCTTTTTCCCTTACTCCCTGTCCCCACTTTCTCCCATGCAAACTTCATCTCTTTTTCTCCCTGCTTTTTCCCCTCCAGGCCTGATTGCTCGAAAGCTTGCCCTTGCTCAGCTGCGCCAGGAGAGGTGAAGTTTGTGCACTTTGAGGTGGATGGGGCTTTAGGGCATTGGCTGCTGGGACCCCCAAAACCATGAGGACTGAGGTGGGATGGGGGCTTTGGGATCAGGCAGCTGGGTTATTTCTCCTGACTCTTTCTCTTCCCCGTCCCAGCTGTCCCCTACCACCACCGGTCACAGATGTGAGCCTTGAGTTGCAGCAGCTGCGGGAAGAACGGAACCGCCTGGATGCAGAACTGCAGCTGAGTGCCCGCCTCATCCAGCAGGAGGTGGGCCGGGCTCGGGAGCAAGGTACACCTGGTTGCCAGAGGGTGGAGAGGATGAGGAAAAACCCAGTGTCTAGGGTGCTGGGAGAGGCCTGACCCAGCACCCCCTCCTTTTAGGGGAGGCAGAGCGGCAGCAGCTGAGCAAGGTGGCCCAGCAGCTGGAGCAGGAGCTGCAGCAGACCCAGGAGTCCCTGGCTAGCTTGGGGCTGCAGCTGGAGGTAGCACGCCAGGGCCAGCAGGAGAGCACAGAGGAGGCTGCCAGTCTGCGGCAGGAGCTGACCCAGCAGCAGGAACTCTACGGGCAAGGTGTCGAGAGGGAAATGGGTGCTTCCCTTGGAGGGTGGGGTGGGAACTGCGAATCAAAGCTCCTGCTGATATGCCCCGTCTGCACTTTCACCCCAGCCCTGCAAGAAAAGGTGGCTGAAGTGGAAACTCGGCTGCGGGAGCAACTCTCAGACACAGAGAGGAGGCTGAACGAGGCTCGGAGGGAGCATGCCAAGGCCGGTGAGCCTTGCCAGGGTGGATAGGGCCTTCCAGGAAGAAGGAAGTGTTAAGACATAAGGTTATTATTTTCCCCTCAAAGTGTGTTCAAAGCTTCATTACAGGAAGTAATGAAGGTATCCAGGAGTAGCACAGATGAATTATCACATCGTGAACACACCCATGTAGCCAGCACCAGATTAAGAAACAGCATATGGCCGGTCGCGGTGGCTTATGCCTGTAATCCAAGCACTTTGGGAGGCCGAGGTGGGTGTATCACCTGAGGTCAGGAGTTTGAGGCCAGCCTGGACAACATGGCGAAACCCTGTCTCGACTAAAAATACAAAAATTAGCTAGGCCTGGTGGTGGGCACCTGTACCCCAAGCTTACTTGTGAGGCTGATGTGGGAAGACTACATGAACCCGGGAGGTCGAGGCTGCAGTGAGCCAAGATTGTGCCACTGCACTCAAGCCTGGGTGATAGAGAAAGACCATGTGTCAAAAAAAGAATTGTGTAATGAATGTATCTTCTCTAACTAAATATAGCAGTTAACATTTGCCACATTTGGTCTCTTATCTATATACACACATATTTGTACATCTTTTGAATCACTTTAAGTTGTAATCATTTAATGTTTTGTTGTTGTTGTTGTTTGAGACAGAGTCTTCCTCTGTCACCAGCTGGAGTGCAGTGGCATGATCTTGGCTCACTGTGACCTCTGCCTCCCGGGTTCAAGCCATTCTCCTGGCTCAGCCTCCCAAGTAGCTGGGATTACAGGCGCCCACCACCATGCCCAGCTAGTTTTTGTATTTGCAGTAGAGACGGGATTACACCATGTTGGCCAGGATGGTCTCGAGCTCCTGACCTCGTGATCCGCCCGCTTTGGCATCCCAAAGTGCTGGGATTATAGGCGTGAGCCACCACGCCTAAGTAAGTTGTAAACATAAGTTGTTCAGCCGCATCTCCCAAAGCCAGTAAATTCTCCTATATAGCTGCAATCATCACACTTTAAGACAGTGAACACTAATTGCACAAAATCTAACCCAGTTCATGTTCAGATTTCCCCTGAGGAACTCCAGGATGGTTCAGGGATGAGGAAGATACTTAGGTTCAGATTCCCAGGCTCCTAGAGCATCAGCCCACCCCTCCAACTGTACAGAAGAGACAGATCCACAGAGCAGAACAGCCTCCCCAAGCCACAGAGTTGGTGACCCAGCGTTTGTTCCTGTCTTCATGGTGCCTGGCTGCCTCTGGCCTGACTCACACCTGCCTCCTCTGTGCCTTGGCCTCTCTGTAGTGGTCTCCTTGCGCCAGATTCAGCGCAGAGCCGCCCAGGAAAAGGAGCGGAGCCAGGAACTCAGGCGTCTGCAGGAGGAGGCCCGGAAGGAGGAGGGGCAGCGACTGGCCCGGCGCTTGCAGGAGCTAGAGAGGGATAAGAACCTCATGCTGGTAGGAGACAGGAGGGCAGACAGGCAGACACTAGGGCCCATCCTGGGCTGGTTCCTGGGCTAGAGGTGTGGAAAGAGGATGGTGAGGGAGGCTCTATCCGGGCTAGGTTTAACCCTCTCCTTCCCAGGCCACCTTGCAGCAGGAAGGTCTCCTCTCCCGTTACAAGCAGCAGCGACTGTTGACAGTTCTTCCTTCCCTACTGGATAAGAAGAAATCTGTGGTGTCCAGCCCCAGGCCTCCAGAGTGTTCAGCATCTGCACCTGTAGCAGCAGCAGTGCCCACCAGGGAGTCCATAAAAGGTCTTGGGCCAAGCACAAAGGGACAAGGGACAAATGCGCGCACTTCAGGAATCTCCTCTTCAGACTCTGGCATGATGAGTGTTGTTCTCTGCGGTCCTTCGAGGCCCTTAGCCTCTTTTAGCGATGCCCAGCTTGGACCAAAGAGCCTCCTCTCTCCCATTCCTCATTTCCTGTGCCAGCCCTGTTTCCTCTGTAACCACGAGCACCTTCCCTTGTCTGGTGCTCATCTGCTGTCTTCCTTCCCAGGGTCCCTCTCTGTCCTGCTCGATGACCTGCAGGACCTGAGTGAAGCCATTTCCAAAGAGGAAGCTGTTTGTCAAGGAGACAACCTTGACAGATGCTCCAGCTCCAATCCCCAGATGAGCAGCTAAGCAGCTGACAGTTGGAGGGAAAGCCAGCCTGGGGGCTGGGAGGATCCTGGAGAAGTGGGTGGGGACAGACCAGCCCTTCCCCATCCTGGGGTTGCCCTGGGGGATACCAGCTGAGTCTGAATTCTGCTCTAAATAAAGACGACTACAGAAGGAGCCATTGTTTGGAAATGTTATTTCTGGGAATCTGTGGGAATTCTCCCTGCAGCCATCTCTCTTGGAGATTGTGAGAAGTGGTCCCACCCATAGCTCTCTCTATGGGTGGCACCTTTTCAAATCCTTTTTCTAGGCAGCTTTGGAAATGTTTGGGAAGCTCCTGCTTTTCTTTATTCTCAACTTTTGTTTTAAAACTCTTTTCTTCTGGAAGATGATAAATGCTAGGAGTGGGGAAGATGAAACATTCACTCGTTCAACAGGAATGTCAGAGCCAGGCACTGTATTAGCCTGGGGGCCACTTGGACCCTGAGAGCCTACATCCTAGTGGGAGAGCGAGCGAGCAGATGGGACCTAAACAGATGAACGAGATCGTTTCAAATAAGTGCTTGAAGAGAAAGTACAGTACGATGATATGATAGAAACTGACTCTGGGGAGAGGCCTCTGAGCAGGGGACCTTGTGCAGAGGCCTGCCTGAAGTGGGCTCCTGTGGAGGCCAGGAGGTCTCTGTAGAGAATGCTCAAGGATGCTGCTGCGAGGCCGAGATGTGGCCAAGTTTGGATTTTACTGTAAGTCAATAGAAAGCCATTGGAGTACTTCTTTAAAAACGGGGAAGAAAGCCAGGTGTGGTGGCTCACGCCTGTAATCCTGACACTTTGGGAGGCTGAGGCACGCGGATCACCTGAGCTCAGGAGTTTGAGACCAGCCTGGGCAACATGGTGAAACTTCGTCTCTACTAAAATACAAAAAATTAGCCAGGTGTGGTGGTGTGAGCCTGTAGTCCCAGCTACTCAGGAGGCTGACACAGGAGAATTGCTTGGACACGGGAGGTGGAGGTTGCAGTGAGCCGTGATCATGCCACTGCACTCCAGCCTGGGTGACAGAGCGAGACTCAGCCTCAAAAAAAGAAGAAGAATTAAAAAAAAAAAAAAAAAACAGGGAAGGGGGCCCGGTGTTGTGGCTCCCGCCTGTAATCCCAGCACTTTTTTTTTTTGAGACAGTTTTGCTCTTGTTGCCAGGCTGGAGTGCAGTGGCACAATCTCAGCTCACTGCAACCTCCACCTCCCAGGTTCAAGCAATTCTCCTGCCTCAGCCTCCGGAGTAGCTGAATCCCAGCACTTTTTTGGGAGGCCGAGGTGAGCGGATCGCTTGAGCCCAGGAGTTTGAGACCAGCCAACATAGGGAGACTCCATCTATATAAAAAATAAAAATAAAAAACATTGGAGGGCATGGTGGCGTGCACCCATGGTCCTAGTTACTCCAGAGGCTGAGTTGGGAGGATTGTTTGAGCCCAAGAGGTTGAGGCTGCAATGAGCTGTGATCGCACCACTGCACCCCAGCCTAAGAGAGCGAGAACCTGTCCTCACTCCCCAAACAAAGGGAAGACGCAACATGATTTGGTGTACATTTTTTTTCCTGAGGGACTTACTGGATGGTCCCTTCCAGAGTGAGGTACACATATCCACGCACTGTGGTCAGCGATTGCTCCCGGCACCCAGCGCAGCAGATGGGTGGGTCTAACCAGGTCACTTCCCCAGGAGGGCATAATTGAGCAGTTTCCGCATCAGGTCCACGTGGGCCAGCAGCATGCGGCAGGCAGCGGCTGTGGTGCTTCAGGCCCAGGGCGTCCCCATCAGCGTACTTGGACTGCAGCAGCCCCAGGTAGGCCTCCCACGTGTTGCCCACAGTCTTGCTGCAGGTGAAGCAGCGCACACAACTCCTGAGCTCAAGTGGTCCTCCTGTGTCAGCTTCCCAAAGTGCTGGCATGAGCCACTACGCCTGGCCTGATATATATATATATGTTTTTTTTTTTTGAGACGGAATTTCACTCGTTGCCCAGGCTGGAGTGCAATGGTGTGATCTCAGCTCACCACAACCTCTGCCTCCTGGGTTCAAGCGATTCTCCTGCCTCAGCCTCTTGAGTAGCTGGGATTACAGGCATGTGCCACCATGTCCGGCTAATATTTTTGTATTTTTAGTAGAGACGGGGTTTCTCCATGTTGGTCAGGCTGGTCTTGAACTCCCGACCTCAGGTGATCTGCCCGCTTCGGCCTCCCAAAGTGCTGGGATTACAGGCGCGAGCCACCACACCAGGCCCGCGTGATGTATATTTTAAGACCTCTTTTGCTGGTGGAGGACAGGCTTTGTGTGAGGGGGAGGGATAAACAGTGGGAGCAAGGGGGCCAATTAGAAGGGTGTTGGGGAGGCTCAGGGGAGATGGTGGCTCAGGATGATGGGCTGGGTTTGGACAGGGTGTGGAGGGGCTTGCAGGTGGATGGTGGAGGAGTGTAACGAAGGTTTCTGCGTGAGCCCTGGAGGGAACAGATGAGATCACGCCATTGCATAATAAGGTGTTCCTTACTGTGGGGTAGCGGACCAGGCAGGGAACAACCTGGGAGGAATCAAATTTTATTTTGGACATGTTACTTCTGAAAGGCTAACAGACTTCCAGGCAGAAAGGTCCTTGAGGGAAACATTCTAGGGGTCTCTCTGGGAGGCTTAGATCAAGGAGCTGAGACCAAAAGGAGAATGGGAGGGAGGAGACGAGTACAATAGAGTTGGAGCCAAGGTCCTAGAGGCGGATAGGTGGATTCCTGAGGGAGGAGGAAGGGGCTGAGGTTGCTGGAGCCTGGCAGCTTCTTCCGGAGCCATTGGCAGGACTGATGCAAACAGCTCTGGGTGGGAAGAGGGAACCAGGATATCCTCCTGTGTCCTTCCTTTTCTGCAGTCATCCTGGGTGGCTGCCAGATGGAATTCCTTGGATATCATTGCTTGGAGGTCCCCTGCATGCCTGAAGAAGGACATGGTGGAGAGCAGGATGCCTGGATCCCATGGGGGAAGGGAAGTGCCCAGGAAAGCACGAAGCCCCAGGGGGAGCTTTCAGTGCGGGGGTGAGTGGGGAGGCTGGGGTAGTAGCTGACACTGTCCCAGCTGCATCCCAGGTTTGAAAGGCACCTCCTCCCCCAGCGCAGGCATCCTGCCTCCCAACCCTGTAATTACGGTGCTTCCCAACGCCCATCGTGTGGTTTGCTCCCATTCTTTGGCTTCCAATAGTTGCAAGGGATGAAGGTGGACATCTCTGTGATTACGGAGATGCCAAGTGGGTATTGACTGCTCCAGGGTGTGGATGGAGGGTGTGAAAACCAGGGTGGGGTGACGCAGGCTCTGGGTCATGATAGGGAGAGCAGGCAGCTGGGTCCTGGGCTGGAGGACTAAAATAAGGGACGCCACCTTCAGGGGTGACACATCAGCCCAGGCCTTCCCAACGGGTTTGACCAGTTCTGTTCTGATGGTATTCCTGTGCCACTGGGCTGGTCCCTCCTCCACTCCTCCCCTATAAAGCCTCTTGGGGTTCCCAGGCACCCAGACTCAGCCCACCCCAGCTTTGGGGGCCAGTACATAGCCATGATCCTCAACTGGAAGCTCCTGGGGATCCTGGTCCTTTGCCTGCACACCAGAGGTGAGGTGGGAACAGAGGCAGGGACTGCAGTTTGGGGTGATGAGGGATACTCAAGATGGCGGAGGTGAACTGGACGCATGGGGTTGGGGACAGGAATTCAGGGGACGCAGAAGGTGCATCTGGCTCACCAGAAATGGCTTTCTGGACACATTGGGTGGGGGACATGGTGCAGAAGGTGCATTTGGCTCTCACCAGAAATGGTTTGCTGGCTCCATGTGGCAAAGTCGGTCAGGATTAACGTGGGGGGGACGAGTTTCCTTGGAGCTGGGATCTGTGTTAAGGAGCTGGGGTCCTTGTAAAGCTGGGGTCTGTGTGCCTGGGGGCCAAGGTGTAACCCACCTTGGGTTGCAGGTTGGCCTGAGGACAAAGCTAGTGGGGTACCCCAACCAGGGGTGGATGGAGCTTATTTGGAGAAGTCTGGTCAGTTTAAAGTGGGTCAAGTGAACGGTTCAGATCCATCGGGGGTAGGGGTTCATGACATTTTACCATCAGTTAAGTATTTACAAACCTACCGAGAGCTCTTTGAGAGTGACTTTTTTGGTCTGTTTGTGGGTCAGTTCAGGCTGCGTCCGTCCAGACAGGCTCCTCCTCCTGGGGCTGGGGCTGGGTGGGGCTGGGGAGAGAAGCCCTCACCACCTCTTACCTTTCTCCTTCCTCCTTTACAGGCATCTCAGGCAGCGAGGGCCACCCCTCTCACCCACCCGCAGAGGACCGAGAGGAGGCAGGCTCCCCAACATTGCCTCAGGGCCCCCCAGTCCCCGGTGACCCTTGGCCAGGGGCACCCCCTCTCTTTGAAGATCCTCCGCCTACCCGCCCCAGTCGTCCCTGGAGAGACCTGCCTGAAACTGGAGTCTGGCCCCCTGAACCGCCTAGAACGGATCCTCCTCAACCTCCCCGGCCTGACGACCCTTGGCCGGCAGGACCCCAGCCCCCAGAAAACCCCTGGCCTCCTGCCCCTGAGGTGGACAACCGACCTCAGGAGGAGCCAGACCTAGACCCACCCCGGGAAGAGTACAGATAATGGAGTCCCCTCAGCCGTTCTGTTCCCAGGCATCTCCAGGCACCCACGCCCTCTCCACCCTCTGATTCCCCGTGAATTCTTCCCAATTTAGCCTATCTCCTTAAACCTCTTCCTCATTCCCTCGGTTTTATTCTGAACCCGTAAGGTGGTGTTCTCAATATTTCCTGTCCCCTCCTGAGATCCATACTTAGTCCTCACATCGCCCGTTTTTTCCTCTGACAGCCTAAGCCTACTCTCCTACCTCGCCTCCAGGCCTCGGCCCCACCTACCTCCCACCCGGTCTTCCTGCCCGCGCGATCGCTGGGGCAGGGCTACGGTACTGTGTTCCCTTCTGCCACCTGGTGGCCGGCGGCAGGAACTATCAGTAGACAGCTGCTGCTTCCATGAAACGGAAAAATAAAAATCATGTTTTCTTAACTCTGAATCTAGGCTGCTGCTTTAACTAACACTTAGGGTCTTTTTCATTTATTTTTATTTATTTGTTTTTTTCTTTTTTTGAGACGAAGTCTCGCTCTGTCGCCCAGGCTGGAGTACAGTGGCACGATCTCGGCTCACTGCAAGCTCCGCCTCCCGGGTTCACGCTATTCTGCCTCAGCCTCCCGAGTAGCTGGGACTACAGGCGCCCGCCACCACGCCAGGCTAATTTTTTGTATTTTTTAGTAGAGGCGGGGTTTCACCGTGTTAGCCAGAGTGGTCTCGATCTCCTGACCTCGTGATCTGCCCGCCTGGGCCTCCCAAAGTGCTGGGATTACACGCGTGAGCCACAGCGCCCGGCTTCTTTCTTCTTTTTCTTTCTTTTTTTTTTAGATGGAGTCTCACTCTATGCCCAGGCTGGAGTGCAATGGCACGATCTCGGCTCACTGCAACCTCCGGCTCCCGGGTTCAAGCCATTCTCCTGCCTCAGCCTTCTGAGTAGCTGGGATTACAGGTGCGCACCACCATGCCCGGCTAATTTTTGTATTTTAGTAGAGATGGGGTTTCACCATGTTGGCCAGGCTGGTCTCGAACTCCTGACATCGTGATCTCCCCGCCTCGGCCTCCCAAAGGGCTGGGATTACAGGCGTGAGCCACCGTGCCCGGCCAACACTTATGTTTTTGACTATTAGGATGCCCTCTTCACAGTCCTAAACTTACGGAGACCTGGAAGTAACTTGAGTTCCTATCTTGCCCATGTCCAGCATGTAAGGCTCTGGGGCTTAGCAGGAGGAGGGTTGGAAATGTCACTATGCAAGTCACAATAACATTCAGGCCCACATTTCTCCCTTTCTGAGAACACTATATTAAAGAATGGGAAGGCAAGTTTCATCTCTGTTTAATGGCCTATGGCTTGGATACCCCTAGTGGTATATGCAAACCTTCCCAGGGGTGTGTCGGCAGGACCAGTTTTAAGGGAATCAGTTTCCAGATTAATATGTGCCCCCCGCTAGAATGAATCTCCTGCTTGTCCTGGGCCTGACCAGAGTGCCCTTCCCAGAGCCGCCAAAGGTCAATAGGAAACAAATCAACCTTTCCCATCTCATTAAGAGATTCATTTTCTTTCTTTTCTTTTTTTTTTTTTTTTGAGACGTATTATCTCTCTGTCGCCCAGGCTGGAGTGCAGTGGCACGACAGATATCAGCTCACTGCAAGCTTCGCCTCCTGGATTCAAGTGATTCTCCTGCCTCAACCTCCCGAGTAGCTGGGATTACAGGTGTGTGCCACCACACCCAGATAAGTTTTCTATTTTTAGTAGAGATGGGATTTTGCCATGTTGGCCAGGCTGGTCTCGAATTCCTGATCTCATGGGATCTGCTTGCCTTGGCCTCCCAAAGTGCTAGGATTACAGGTGTAAACCACCACGCCTGGCCAAGAGATGCATTTTCAATAAGTTACTTTTCATGTCTTTTTGTGTGTTTGTTTGAGACAGGGTCTCCATCTGTCATCCAGGCTGGAGTGCAGTGGCACGATCATGGCTCGTATAGCTTCAACCTCCTGGGCTCAAGCAATCCTCCTATCTCAGCCTCTGGCGTAGCTGAGACTACAGGTGCACCACCCCTGACTAATTTTTTGTATTTGTTTAGTTTAGTTTTGTTTCGTTTTTAGAGATGGGGTTTTACCGTGTTGCCCGGGCTTGTCTCAAACTCCAGAGCTCAAGTGATCGGCCCATCTTGGCCTCCCAAAGTGCTGAGATTACAGGCACGAGCCACCGCGCCTGACCAACTTTTTATGTTTAATCCTTGTGAATATTCCTAGTTTTGGTTAACTGCAATAATTGCAATACAAATAGAATAACTGTTTCTAACACTTGTTCAAGGGCTTGTTCACGTATTTTTTAAAAGGATGCTAACAGATATGAAAGTTCTATGGCATTATATTCAATTTGCTACACTTAGAGTGACGTGCAGTCTCCGACAGACTGAGCACAACAAATTGTTTTTAATTTTAAAAACTGACATGGCCAGGCATGGTGGCTCACGACTGTAATCCCAGCATTTGGGAGGCTGAGGTAGGCAGATCACTTGAGGTCAGCAATTCAAGACCAGCCTGGACAATGGTGAAACTCTGTCTCTACTAAAAATACAAAAAACTTAGCTGGGCATCCCAGCTACTCGGGAAGCTAGGGCATGAGGATTGCTTGAACCTGGGAGGCAGAGGTTGCAGTGAGCCGAGATCGCACCACTGCACTCCAGCCTGGGAGACAGAGTGAGACTCCATCTCAAAAATAATAAATAAATAAATAAATACATAAATAGTGATGTGATTTTTAACATGTATTTGCAATTCCCTGAAAAGCCTACCCTTTGGAATGCTATTAAATTATTACAAATGTTAAATGTTGACTTAAAAATGTGCAAGGGGCTGGGCGAGGTGGCTCATGCCTGTAATACCAGCACTTCGGGAGGCCGAATCGGGTGGATTGCTTGTGGCCAGGAGTTTGAGACCAGCCTAGGCAACATGGCAAAACTGTCTCTACAGAAAATTTAAGAAATTAGCCAGATGTGGTGGCCCGCACCTGTAGTCCCAGCTACTCAGGAGGCTGAGGTGGGAAGATTGCTTGACCCTGGGAGGTTGAGGCTGTAGTGAGCCAAGATGGCACCACTGCACTCCAGTCTGGGCAACAGAGTGAGACCGTGTCTCAAAACAATACAAATGTGCAAGGGACATAGTTTTTCAAAATCCTTTAAAGAGGCAATCAGGTTAGAAGGACAGGAGCTCAGAGATCCCAATGGTCTACTGTCAATCAAGTATCCGACCAGGGTTAGGGATGAAGAGGGGTTAAAAGAAACTGAGGTTGCATAACCTTAAATTTCACCACTTAGAACCCAGTTTGCTTATGTGGTAACTCTCATTAAAAACTACATATGAGAGGCCGGGCGCGGTGGCTCACGCCTGTAATCCCAGCACTTCGGGAGGCCAAGGCGGGCGAATCACGAGGTCAGGAGATCGAGACCATCCTGGCTAACATGGTGAAACCCAGTCTCTACTAAAAAATACAAAAAAAATTAGCTGGGCATGGTGGCCGGCGCCTGTAGTCCCAGCTACTCGGGAGGCTGAGACAGGAGAATGGCGTGAACCTGGGAGGTGGAGCTTGCAGTGAGCCGAGATTGTGCCACTGCACTCCAGCCTGGGCGACAGAGCGAGACTCCATCTCAAAAAAACAAACAAATAAAAAACCAAAAAACTACACATGAGATCAGGCGTGGTGGCTCACACCTGTAATCCTAGCACTTTGGGAGGCTGAGGCGGGTGGATTACCTGAGGTCAGGAGTTCGAGACCAGCCTCACCAACATGGTGAATCCCTGTCTCTACTAAAAATACAAAAAAATTAGCTGGGCATGGTGGCGGGCGCCTGTAATCCCAGCTTCTCAGGAGGCTGAGGCAGGAGAATCCATTGAACCTGGGAGGCAGAGGTTGCGGTGAGCCAAGATCGTGCCACTGCACTGCAGCCTGGGCGACAGAGCAAGACCCCGTCTCAGAAAACAAAAAACAAAAAAAAACTACATGTGGTCCGAATGAAACAAAACTAAGCTTAGGGTTTAGGAATAATCTGAGAACACATAAGAATTGTAGGTTGAGCCTAGTAGAATTAAATAGGCCCCAAGCTGGACTGGATTCACCCATTCATTCATTCATTATCTTACTTCCTCAATGTGTCCACGAATGCCGGGTGCCATGGGAGAATATAAGAATATAAATAATAAAAATATGTAGTTTCTACTCAGAACTTAAAATTGAGAGAGACAGAATTTACAGGCAAGTTTAAATAACATCAAAGACAGTAAAAATGCATATTTCCTAATAATGACATGAGCGAGCGCCAATGTAATAGCCTTGGCAGTAAACGCCGTGAGTTCAGAAGAGTCACGGTGAGCTGGACTAGTCAGGGGAGGCTTCTGGGAGGAGGGCCCGGAGCGGGACCTGAGAGAAGAACAGGCAGTGTGTCTGGAGGATGGACCAGGAAGGGCAGACCCGGAGCCTCATACAGGGTGCAGGTACAGAAGCTGCCCCCAGGTGATGAGCTCTCGTGGCCAGAACCACCAGCTCTAGGGACCAGCCCTTGCGCGTATGTGCATCAGCCTTCGTGTGTGCTGTTCCCTATGTCTGGAATGGCCGTCCTCTCCCAAACCAGCTGCATTTCTCCTCAGGGATGCCTCTGCCTACACCACTCCTTCCCGCACCCCACCCGACCCCCAACGCCCTTCACCCCAGTCACCCTATGGCAATGATTTATTCATGTCTGTCTTCCCTTCCCAGGCCATGAACCTTGTGAGGCAGGGACTGTGTTCTACGCATTTCTTCTTGAACCCCTTTACCATTTTTGTGCCTACGGACTCCCAGAGTGCTAAATCACTCCCAACAGCCCCGCCTATGCCTCTGCCGGGACCTTTTCCAGGGGCAGAGAGCTGGAAGCACTTGGAAATTTTTCTCTCCCACATCCTCACATGCCACCACCCTCCCACTCCCCCAGCCCGCCCCCAGGCCTTAACCAACGGTGGACAAATATGAAGGTGTCAGTACCCCAGCCCTCCATGAGACTTAGCTTGGTTCCACTCATGTGCTTGGGTCCCACTTTCCCACTCCCTTTCCACTCCTCCCCACCCTCATTACTTTTTTTTTTTTTTAAGACAGGGTCTCACTCTGTCACCCAGGCTAAAGTGCAGTGGCACAATCATAACTCATTGCAGTCTCAACCTCCTGGGCTCAAGTGGTCCTCCTGCCTCAGCCTTCTGAGTAGCTGGTACTATAGATGCACTCCACTCACTGGGCTAATTTTTTAATTTCTTGCAGAAATGATGTCTTGCCATGTTGCCCAGGCTGGTCTGGAACTCCTGGACTCAAGCAATCTTCCTGCCTTGGCCTCCCAAAGCACTGGGATTACAGGTGTGAGCCATCATGCCCAGTCCCCTCATTACTTTTATTTATTTATTTATTTATTTATTCAATTTTTGAGACGGAGTCTCCCTCTCGTTGCCCAGACTGGAATGCAGTGGTGTGATCTCAGCCCACTGCAATCTCCGCCTCCTGAGTTCAAGCGATTCTCCTGCCTCTGCTTCCTGAGTAGCTGGGATTACAGGCATGCGCCACTATGCCCAGCTAATTTTTGTATTTTTAGTAGAAACAGGGTTTCACCATGTTGGCCAGGCTGGTCTCAAACTCCTGACCTCAGGTGATCTGCCCGCCTTGGCCTCCCAAAGTGTCGAGATTACAGGCATGAGCCACTGTGCCTGGCCTATTTATTTTTGAGACAGTTCTCACTCTGTTGCCCAGGCTGGAGTACAGTGGCACGATCACAGCTCACTGAAGCCTGGACCTAAGCGATCCTCCCACCTAAGCCTCCCAAGTAGCTGGATCACAGGCGCATGCCACCACGTCTGGCTAATTTTTTTTGTAGAGATTGGGTCTTACTATATTGCCCAACCTGGTCTCAAACTCCTGAGCTCAAGAAACCCTCCTGCCTCCGCCTCTCAAAGTGTTGGGATTATAGGCGTGAGCCACCCTGCCCAACTTCTCATTAGTTTTAAATAAATCTCTTTTACTTGAATCTTTGTCTCAGGGCCTGCTTCTGGGGAATCCAACCTAGGATGCAAAGTATTTGCTACACACTATTGCAACTACTTTCTACTGCGCATGTGCCATAGGGCACTGTTGGTAAATGCTCTACAGCTTAAGCTCTCGTTTAATTTGCATAACAATGCTATCATGATCATTTCACAGAAGACAGAAACAGGCCTAGAGAGGTACAGTGACCCATGCAAGGTCACACAGGGGACAAATGGCAGAACTGGGATTTCAATTTAGGTCTGTGCTATGCTAACAACACTGATTTTAACCACTACATCATCCCAGCTCTTTTTTTTTTTTTTTTTTTTTTTTGAGACGGAGTCTTGCTCTTTTCACCCAGGCTAGAGTGCAATGGCACGATCTTGGCTCACTGCAACCTCCGCCTCCTGGGTTAAAGCAATTCTCCTGCCTCAGCCTCCCACATGGCTGGGATTACAGGCACCCGCCACCATACCTGGCTAATTTTTGTAGTTTTTTTTTAGTAGACACGGGGTTTCACCATGTTGGCCAGGCTGGTCTTGAACTCCCGACCTCGTGATCCACCAGCCTTGGCTTCCCAAAGTGCTGGGATTACAAGCATAAGCCACCGCGCCTGGCCCATCCCAGCTCTTTATTCATCTGTGTAACCCTGACAGAGAATACAGTGCCTGGGCCGTCATGCACACTTAATGTGTGTTTTGTGAAAGGCTAAATTATTTAATGAAGGGCCCAATTAACAAAGAGTAGATCGGAATGATTGGAGTAAAATAACCCGAAGAAGAGAGAGACATGTTGGAGAGACAGGTCGGGGGAAAATTAGGGAAGATCTTGGTGCCAAGTGCAGGAGCTCATATCTGAAAGTCTCTCTCCTCTATTAGAACTGTGCCTGGGCCTGGGCAACATAACAAGACCCTGTCTCTGAACAAACAAAATAAGTTAGCTGAACATGGTAGGGCGCACCTGTAATCCCAGCTATTCCAGAGGCTGAGGTGGAAGATTGCTTGAGCTCAGGAGGTCAAAGCCAGCCTGGGCAACACAGCAAGACCCCATCTCTAAAAAAAAAAAAAATTAAAATTAAAAAAGGGCCAGGCACAGTGGCTCACACCTGTAATCCTAGCACTTTGGGAGGCCAAGGCAGGAGGATCGCTTGAGCTCAGGAGTTTGATACCAGTGTGGGCAACATAGTGTGACCTCACCTCTACAAAAAAAATGTTTAACATTTGGCCAGGTTGCCAGGCGCAGTGGCTCACGCTTGTAATCCCAGCACTTTGGGAGGCCGAGGTGGGCGGATCGCGAGGTCAGGAGATCGAGACCACGGTGAAACCCCGTCTCTACTAAAAATACAAAAAAAATTAGCCGGGAGAGGTGGCGGGCGCCTGTAGTCCCAGCTACTCGGGAGGCTGAGGTAGGAGAATGGCGTGAACCCGGGAGGCGGACGTTGCAGTGAGCCGAGGTCGCACCACTGCACTCCAGCCTGGACGACAGAGTGAGACTCCATCTCAAAAAAAAAAACAAACAATTAGCCAGGCCATGGTAGTGCATGCCTGTAGTCCCAGCTACTCAGCAGGAAGATCACCTGAGCATGAGAGGTTGAAGCTGGAGTGAGATATGATTGCACCACTGCACTCCAGCTTGGATGACAGAGCTGTCTCAGAAAAAAAAAAAAAATTGTGCCTAGGGTGGGGAGAAACACATACATCTCTGGGTATACTGTGGCAGGAAGCTAAGGATAGAAAGGAAGAAGGAGGTCTGGACCCCTCAAACTGACCCTCAAGCCAATAACGTGGAATTAGTTAGGAGGAAAAAAAATTAATTAATTAATTAATTTTTTATTTTTTGAGACAGGTTCTTGCTCTGTCGCCCAGGCTGGACAGTGCAGAGGTGCAGTTACAGCTCACTGCAGCCTTGACCTCCTGGGCTCAAGGGATCCTCCTACCACAGCGTCCTGAGTAGCTGGGACCACAGGCATGTGCCACCATGTCCAGCTAAGAGAAATTCTTAAAGAAGAGAGAAAGGAGGGAAAGGAACTGAGCCCCTGATGTTGTCTAGGGAAAAAGCTGGGGCTCTTTACAGCATGCTGCCTTCTTTAATTCCACAGCACTATGTGGGTTTCCATGCCTTTATTTCCTTGGAAAGTATGAGCTTCTTGAAGACAGCAACTGTGCCTTGTCTTTCTTTGTATCCCTTCCTTCTCTCCTAGTACCCAGCCTAGAAGGCACTCAATAAAGCAAATGATTAGCCCCATTTCACAGACGAGGAACCAACACTGAGAGAGGTAACTCACCTGTGCAAGTCATATCACAAGTGCCAAAGTCAAGACTGGATGGAGGACTGCCTGGCTGCAAACCAATTC
Source organism: Homo sapiens (assembly GCF_000001405.40). NCBI lineage: Eukaryota > Metazoa > Chordata > Mammalia > Primates > Hominidae > Homo > Homo sapiens. The sequence continues at coordinate 2,473,712 of NT_167247.2, read as the reverse complement.
TTCCCAGGCTGACATGGCAGGTAGGTGAGTGGGAAAGAGAAGGGGGAGGCATAAGGCAATTGGAGATTTTAGTACCTATTAATAGGCAGTGGATTTTGGCACTCAAACAGGCTGTCTTCATTAGCTGGGGAGGAGACTGAGTGGGCCTGGATGGTATGGAGGTATTTGCACAGGGAAACCCATTGTGCTGGCTTATCCATTCAGATTAGACAATGCTGGTTCCTCTCTACCTGCCTTGGCTAAGCTCACCTAGGAGTAAATGCCCCAGGGACACCGTCACGTCTATGTCAACACAGAGTCACGGAATTAAATAACAGAATAGGATCACAGATTTACAGAACAATAGCCCAGAACCTTGGACATGACAGATAGTTATTAAATGCTTGGCCAATGAAAAAAAAAGAACCTAGAACTAGTATCACGGTAAAATCTAATTATACAAGCTAAGTTACCTTGAGAAAGCACCAGGCACAGCCCTGAGCCTTGGGCAGCGAATGATGTCTTTGGACTAGACAGAAGAGATGGTTGTCTGCCCTGCTTTGAAGCTCTCTGGCCAGGGAAACTCCAAACCATTCATTTGTTCATCCATTTGCCCACACAATCAACATTCATTGAGCATCTGCTCTGTGGGGTGCTATGTGATGGTGACAGTCCCAGGAAGCAGTTTCAGTCCTCCCTGCCCTCAAGGGGCTCTGTGTTTAGGGAGGACAAACATATACATCATGACAATAAAATTTGATAAAAAGTTAAATTAGAGAGGGGGCAAACCCTGACGTAGGAGCCCAGGAGGGACTCCTAACTTCTCTGCCAATTTCATGTTTCAAAATTATTAGACCCAAGACTCGCTTTGGTATAAACTTAAGCTCTCTTACTGTACATTTTTCTTCTCCTGCTAATCTTTAATTAAGTGCCCACCAGGTGCCTGGCACTGAATCAAAACTCAAAAAACTTGCTGAATTAAGCCAAATGCACCTCCTGTGGGTTTTTCCCCCTAATATCCTCAGAGGCAGTAATCAATTCCCTCCCCAAATTCCCCAGTCCCCACCCCATCCCCACCTTTCCTTTTGCAGTATAATCTCAACTCCTGTGATGGGGGCAGGCAGGATAGCATGGTAGTGAGATCAACAGACTGTGACTTGGGTTCTTGTCGCTACTTAGCCATTCATTCTGTATGTGACCTTGGGATGGGACTTTAGGGGGATTTCTTTAATAACCTCTAAACTCCCGTGCAATGCTGAGAGCCAAGGTAGCGGCTCTCAGGTCTTGTTCCAAGAACTGCCACCAGAGGGCAGCCTAGAGACTCCTCTCAGGTGTTTTCCTCCAGAGCCTTTGCTCTTTCCCTCACTAATGTCATCCACTCCCTGGGTCCACCATCAAGGCACACAGGTGTCCCTTTAGCCGTCAAGGTGACCGTTCTAAGGTGAGCCAGGCATGTGAGGCGAGGCGAGACAGGCTCTGAAGCCCTCAGGAAAATTCAGGCACAGGCTGCTTGTCCAAGTGGACCTCACGATCATCATTTACACATTCTCTCCCTGATTATTTCATGAGCCAGCGGTCTACAGGAGAGGATACCACAGCCAGTCAAAGGGATCAGGGCCCTGCCCTCAGGGAGCTGCCTTCCAGTGAGGGAGGAGAGAGATACACAGATGCTTACAAGGTATCTGTAGTAGGATGTCACCTAGTGATGAATGGTGTGACGCAGCTTAGGCAGAGCGAGGAAATAGGGATGGTCCCAAACGTGTGTGTGTATGTGTGTTTTTTTGAGACAGAGTTTCGCTCTTGTCGCCCAGGCTGGAGTGCAGTGGTGCGATCTCAGCTCACTGCAACCTCTACCTCCCGGGTTCAAGTGATTCTCCTGTCTCAGCCTCCCGGGTAGCTGGGATTACAAGTGTTCACCACCACACCCGGCTAATTTTTGTATTTTTAGTAGAGATGGGGTTTCATCATGTTGGCCAGGCTGGGCTACGAGCGAAACTCCATCTCAAAATAATAATAATAATAATAATAATAATAATAATAATAATAATAATAATAATTCCTGTCTCCTAGGGTCATTGAGAGAATGGAGATCAGTCCTGCACGGGCAGACCTCGGCACCGAGCTGAATGTTACACACTGCCAAGGAGTCGGCGCCGGTCTCTGGTGAAGATGTTCTAGTCCCAGGGCCCAAGAGAACAGAGCGGGACACGAGATGCCTCTCTAACAGGAGTCTGTGTTTCCTGGTCACCTCTGTGTGCTGGGTGATGCCTCAGGTGCCAGGGAGACACTGGGCAGTAGGAGAAGCTCCCTCCTGTGAGGACTCTCACCCAGAGGCACTCAGACAGCCCAGAACACAGGAGGGAAGATGGGCCACCACAGTCCCATTCCTAGGCGCTCCAAGGGCCAGCCCAGCCTAGAAGTCCCTCCTGGTACAAGTCTTTCCGGCCTCTCCTCTCCCGAGAGCACGTTCAGACTGCACCCTGGCGCTCTCTTTCACCCTGTCGAGGAAGCTGTGACTCTAATTCTGGGTGACCAGTAACAATAAAAACCACTAATAGCCCTAGTGGAAAGAATGACTATTTAACAGGTGCACATAATGAGCAGACAAGGAGAGCTCTTTTCCCTCACACTCACTCCGCAGGACAGAGAGGGGAACAGTCTTGCTACTGTGACAGCTAATCACAGCCTCTGTGTGCCTCCCTCCTCGCAAGATAAGAGGGGTGGCCTCAGGGTGTGACGGAAACAGCCAGGAAGGCTTCGGCCAGGGAGCGACTGCCCTACAGCTGACTCCCTGCTGCTTTTGGGAAGTGGGGGTGAAGGGAAAAGACTCAGGGGAGCGGGGGGAAGAAAGCTTGGTGGGCAGAACCCCACTTGCCAAATTCCTCCTCTTTCAGGATTCAGTGGCCAAAGGTGAGCCTGGCTCTGGCCCCAGTCTTCACTCCCAAGTGCCGGCTGCAGTGCCCTGGGCCCGTCGGAGGCTGGCAGGGCTGCTGGGAGGGTGAGGACAGGCATGGGAAGAGTGGAAAGTGGGGGCTGACCCAGCCAAGCTCCAGGAGGCCATTCCATAGAGGAGAGAGCCATTGGACCAGGAGCCAAGCAGGGAAGAAGGAAGGAAAGGTAGAGCCGAGCACCGCCCACACCAGGAATAATCTCAGGAAGAGGATGGTGTGGACAGGCCCCAGGACAGGGCTTCTCAGCTAGGGGCAACTCGTTATGCTGCAGTGGGGGCACCTAACAGAACCCCCTAGGGTTTTTTTAAAGTATACAGCACGGTCCTGCCCACCACTGGCATCAGATGAATGCCATGTCCAGGGGAAACCCCAGTACGTCCTCATCACAGCCATGTGAACACTGCTGTTTGTTCATAAAAATGTGTTGCATCCCTAGGGGGAAATAAAAGGAGCTAATCCAATAGAGAGAAGAGTGGCTCAGGGGAGACAGTCACCCGCGAGGAATGAGGGCAGGACACACAGGCCCAGGCCGAGATTGCACAGGGTGTTGCATGAGTGGCTGTGTCAGAGCCAAGTGCACATGCCCACTGCCACCTCCGCCAAGGCCATCAGTGAATCCCTCCAGCACCTACAGGGGCTTTGCACATAAGAGCTGTGCTTGCAGGGGGTGGGGGGTGGGCACAGGGCAGGAAACCAGAGAGGAGGGCACCATGTCCCTGAGTAAGGTAGAAAGGGGAAGCACAGCCTGGACACATTCTTCCATTCTTTTATTTCAAAATATCACCAAGTGCCTGCCACAGCTATGTGCTGGGAACTCAGTGAACGCACCTGTGCTTTGCCCACTGGCATGGAGCCCACGGTCCGGGGGTGATGGTTTCTGTTGCATTTCAAAGCCACTGGGGCGCTGCATAGATGGCTGGCTGCAGAGTCTATTTGAGACGAAGGCAAGAAGTCAGGGCCCATGGACTGTAGATTCCACCCTTGATCGTCTACTACAGGAAAGAAGCCACAGAAGTGAGGGGGTATTCCCAACAGGAAGGCAGAGAAGGAGAGATTAAAACTGAGTCAAGAAGTGTAGCCAGTCCCATGGGAGCACCTGGGCTGAGGAGGGTCAGTCCCCGCAGAGATGTTCGGAACACCTGATTGGGGATGTGCCCTCTCCTTCTATGTTCTTGGTCACCAGAGGAACCAGGTGAAGAGTGTGGATGACTCAGTCCACCCCTCCCCGCACAGGAAAAACAACTCAGAGGACATCCCCTACTGGGAGTGGGCCAGGAGCGCTGGCTTCCACGCCAAGGAGAGGAGGGTGTTGCTGTGGCTGCAGAGGTGAGTCCACAGGGAAGCGTGGGTGTCATGGAGAAAGAGAGAGGAGAGGAAATGGCCTCTCGCTGGAGCCAAGCAGAGAGGAACAAAGGAGGGGAGGAGCCCACAGGCCCTGGAGCCCCAGAGCAGCTCTGGGTGGCCCCTTTCCTTCTCTCCTCAGCACAAAATAAGCTGCTTTTCCAGGCTTTTTCTCTTCCTCGTGCTCACTCCATTTTCCTTCTTCCAAGCCTAAGCCCTGGTCTACCAAGGACCCCTATGTGAAACACTTGTGCTAGAACTTCTGTCCTGACTCTCAGGCCCCCAGAGGAGGAAAGCTGTGGAGGAGGGACCTCATGAGCCAGTAACCTTCACTTAGGAACTCTTCACTTTTTTTTTTTTGAGACGGAGTCTCACTCTGTCACCCAGGCTGGAGTGCAGTGGCATGAAATCGGCTCACTGCAGCCTCCGCCTCGCTGGTTCAAATGATTCTCCTGCCTCAGCCTCCTGAGTAGCTGGGATTACAGGTGCCTGCCCCCGCACCCGGCTAATTTTTGTATTTTTAGTAGAGATGGTTTTGCCATGTTGGCCAGGCTGGTCTCAAACTCCTGAGCTCAAGTGATCCACCTGCCTTGGCCTCCCAGAGTGCTGGGATTACAGGCGTGAGCCACCATACCTGGCCAGCTTTGACAGCAGAAATCTTCTCTCTAGAAATATTCATATACATAAGGAATTTTGCACACATCCTTACAGGGTTTAGGGAGCCTCTTAAGCCTGTCCATGAACCTCTGCCATTCATTTATAGCATGGTGTCAGCTGCAGAGTAATAGGATCTATGTGGGCCTGGAAGTCCAACAGGCCTGGGTTTGAATCTTTTTCAAACATTTTTGCTTGTTAGCAGCTGGTTTGGACAAATAATTTCAACTTAGTTTTCTCATCTGTGAAACAGGGGGAAAAAGCACTTACCCTGTAGGGCTGTTGTGAAGATTGAACAAGACAACTCATGTTAAATACCCAGGCACCGTGTCCGCCTGCAGCAGGCAGTCAGTACATGGTGGATCTCGTGCCCCAAGCCTCCTCTTTATGGAGTCCCTCAAGTTGCCCCAGCTGGCCTCGGATTCCTCCCACCTCCACCTCCTGGGTAGCTGGGACTACAGCACGCCATGCTTCAGCCCCCTTTGTGATCATTCAAAGCCGTTTGGTTCCCTGCACCCTCTCACATTTACTGCAATTCCTATAGAATCCAAATTCTTTTAACCTGGTGTTGTAGGTCATCTACAATCCCGATCCAAGCAGCCTGTCCCTTCTCCCACACCACTGTCCTCCACATGCATGTCCCACACCAACCCACGCCATCCGCTGGTTCTAAATACACCTGAAGCACCACAAGGCCCCACGTCTGGCTGCCTGCTCTGTGCTTCTCTCATCATTCCTCAAGGCCCGGGGAAAGTCCTGCCACCTCCCTGAAGCCAAGTGCCTACCCGCTTCTCCACTCTAGGCTGCTCTCTTACGCTGTGTGTCCCCAGCTGGATGGCAGCTCCTCAGGGCAAGGAACAATTTCTCTTCTTTCTCAGTGCAACTTCCAAAACACAGCAGAGGAGCGTGCACTGGGGGCAAAGGCTGGCACAGCAAACACAGCAGCACAGGGCTGCTGGAGGGGTGGAGGGGACCGGAGGGGACAGTGACCTGCCTGCTTCATAATACATGGCTGGGAGCCCCACCTTTTGCCTATGGAAGCCATGTGCTTTGAGCTTGATTTTCTCGGGTGTAGAGTGTCTACGCCACCCACACTTTCTCACCCGGTCCAATGCACGGGCACGGGCAGGGGCAGGGCCAGAATCTGTTGCTGTAGAACACAGCAGAGCTGCCTGCAGTACTGTGGACGTCACCAAACTGGCAGCTTCACTGAAGGTGACCCTGGCCTGTGTGGGCACTCAGCTGATGCCCTTCTCTTCCCTCCTAAGCCCCATTAGCTTTAGGTCTTCACCACCTGCACTGAGAGAAAGATTAATGGTGAGCACCAGAGTAAAATCTAGCACAGAAGGCAGGGTTTCAGTAAAAAACCAAAAGCATGGCAGATTAGAGCTCAAGGGCCCACAGGTGGGCAGGACAGTAGAGGAACTGGGCAGCCCAGGGTGGCAGGATGGGGTGGACAGGAGTGGACAGGAGAGAGTAGCCAGGAGGAGGGACGTGGCTGCACCACCAGTCCACGTGGGCGGCTGGAGACCTGGCAGGAGGCCAGGAGAGACTGTGCCTCCTCCAGCCTGGCTGTCTTGGCCAAGTTCTGATGGCAGCCAGGAGGACTGTGAGAAAGAAAACAAGACAAACTTTGCTACCTCTGGCTGGTCAGGGGAAGTTTGTGTTGGAAAAGAAGAAGCCACAGATTCCACTGTTCCGCTGCCTTCTCCCCTCACACCCTGGGACGGCCCAGCACCTTCTAGTCCACTCCTCCCTGCCCTCTGCCACTCCCCTCACTACCCCAGTGCCCCCTCCCTCCTTGCCCAGGTCCTCCAGGGAGCCAAGCCTGAGAGTCTAGGGAGGCCCACAAGAGGAAATGATGTTCGGAAAGAGCAGCATCACTTTATTTTTTGAGATGGAGTTTCCCTTTTGTCACCCAGGCTGGAGTGCAATGGTGCAATCTTGGCTCACTGCAACCTCTGCCTCCAGGGTTCAAGTGATTCTCCTGCCTCAGCCTCCCGAGTAGCAGGGATTACAGGCGCCCACCACCACGCCTGGCTAATTTTTTTGTATTTTTGGTAGAGACGGGGTTTCGCCATGTTGGCCAGGCTGATCTCGAACTCCTGGCCTCAAGTGATCCGCCCGCATCGGCCTCCCATAGTGCTGGGATTACAAGCGTGAGCCACCGTGCCCAGCCGAGCAGCATCACTTTAAATGGTATCTCTGTCTCACATTTGTGCCTGCACCTCTATACAAGGCAGGAAGGGAGCAGAAGACACTCTGCTAGCATTGGCTGGGCTGGAGACTCAGGAAAGGGAGCCTGGGGCTGTGGGGGTGAAGCTGGCCTATTTGTCTCCCCCAGTGGAAGGATGAAGACAGGAGCACCTGCAGGGCTCCATTTGCTGGGCTTCCTACTGGGGGACTGCACCCCTTGTCCCATTTAACCTTTTTGATAATTTCCCATTTGATGTTCACAAAAACCTTGCGAAATAAGTGTTATTTAAAATACCCCCATTTCACAGATGAGGAGATGGAAGTTCAGAAAGGTTTGAAGAGCCGCCCAAAGCCAAGAGGTTAGCTGGGACTTGAACCCACGTCATCTTCATTCTGAAGCCAGTGTTTTTTGTTTGTTTGTTTTTCCCAAGGCATTAGCCCCCTTCAGGGGACCCTGTCCTATCCCTTCCTCTCTCCACAGCTCCCTCAGCCCCTCTTTCCTCCCACTCCCATTCTGAGTGTCACTAGCAAGTCAAGAGCAAGACTAGATGGCAGCCACTAGCTGCACGTGGCCAACCACATCATTACAATTAATTAAAATTAAAGCTCCAAATCTTTGGTGGTTAAACTTGCTCCATGTGGCCAGTGGCTACCGTATCGGACAGCACAGACAGGAAACATTTCCATCCTCCTGCTGGTCTGAACTTAAAGGGCGGTCAGGAGGTAGAGGGAATGGGAGAGACCAGCCCAAGGGGCCCAGGGACAGAGCTGCCTTTGTGAGGAGATGAGGTTTGGGAAGTGAGTTTGGGTGAGGGGAGCAGGGGTGTCTGAGGCCTGGGGGAGGAGAGGGCAGCTTGCTGGACTTGCAGGCACCTCCCTCCGATACTGATACTCCCGCAATACTAGTGAGCAATTAATTGGCTGGGGCGGGGCAGGGGCCAGAGCAGGAGGGAGGCCAACGCAATGGAGGAGAAGCCACCACCCTCTCAGCAGATGGCAGGGCTCCGGTTCTCCTGGCCTCCTTTCATCCTTTGAGGACCCGGGAGCCTGCCTGGCCCTCCTCGACCTGCCCAGAGCTGGCTGCTGCTTCCTGCTCGCTCATCCAGCCCAGGGCCAGCAGATGGGCTACGGGGCCACCACCTTCCCAATTAGCCTTCTTAGCCTCTTGCTCACCCTTGAGGTCTGGGTTACCAGCCATGGGGAGGGGCTGTGAGTGGCCTGTGAGTAACCAAGGCCCAGCTTTGACAGAGGTCATCAGCCCAGGCCCCTCCCCTGGCTGAGCCCTGGCTCCCAGCACCCCCCCCCACCCCCGCCACCATGCCGTCCCCAGAGGCCCCCAGAAGCGACAGGTCAGGGAGTTGGTTTTGGGAATGTGGTGCCCCATTTCTGAGAAGGAGAAGGTTCCCCAGGTGATGGAACACGTAATAGGTATGTGGCTGGCCTGGTACTTGGGGAGTGGTGGGAGGGGGAGCCTGGGGGATGGGGGCAGAACTCATATTTGAAGGAGGAAAGTGGAGGTGGAGTGATGGGGTCCTAAGGAAGGAGCAGATCAGGGGCTGTGAATGGGACCTCATTGGGGTTGGGTGGGTGGGGCTGGAGCGGGCACCCAAGTGTGGAAGAAAAAGCTGAAACACCCACGACTGCGAGTGGAGGGCAGATGGAGAGACAGGCCAAGCCACGGTAGGCAGGAGAGTTAAGGAGCCAGGCAGCTGGGTCCCGTGGCAAGAGTGGCCGCCCCAGAGTGGGTGGCCGTGGGGCAGAGCGCCTGGTTCCGGGTTAGGCAATGAGGAGCCGGGGCCAGGCCTGTCAGGTGGCAGGATCGTTAGAGCCCCGTGGCCATGGGTACCCCACACTGCAGCCACTGCTGCTGCTGAGTAGGCAGATGCACCGGGCTGATTACCACGCTCCTCCCGGCCACACCAACTTCCCCCGGGGCACCCACCCCCTCCACCTCTCCTCCTCTCCCCACAGTGACTCCTGCCCAGGGAATGTCCAGCTCTGGCATAAAGGACCCAGGTGTCCTCGAGCTGCCATCAGTCAGGAGGCCGTGCAGCCCGAGATGGGCTCGTCTCGGGCACCCTGGATGGGGCGTGTGGGTGGGCACGGGATGATGGCACTGCTGCTGGCTGGTCTCCTCCTGCCAGGTAGGAGGCTGGGGGCCCTGGGAACAGGAGGGAGGCGGGAGGGAGACTCCGGGAGAGGACCCAGCGAAGGGGACGGGCAGGGGCTCTGGAATCTGCCTTTTGAGTCTGGGGGTTGCTCCTCACTGTATGGTCGCCTCAGGTAAGTTTCTTAAACTTCCTGAGCCCCAGTTTCTGAAATTCTGAAGTGGGGTTAATGACACCTACCTCTAGTCTGTGTGTCTCAAATTAAATAATGTATGTGATATGTACTTTGGAAATTCTAGAGGTTTATATAAATGGTGGTGGTGATTTTTATTATGGGAGCACTACAAGATAATGATTGGACATTTAATAGTAATAATATCATTTTTAGAGCCTTTTTATATGCTAGACTCTGTTTTAAGCACATTTGGATTATATATTAGAACTTTTATTTTTATTTTTTTTGTGAGATGGAGTCCCACTCTGTCTCCAAGGCTGGAGTGCAGTGGCGTAATCTCGGCTCACTGCAACTTCCACCTCTCAGGTTCAAGCGACTCTCATGCCTCAGCCTCTAGAGTAGCTGGGACAACAGGTGCCCATCACCACACCTGGCTAATTTTCTTTTTTTTGTATTTTTAGTAGAAACAGGGTTTTACCATTTTGGTCAAGCTGGTCTTGAACTCCTGACTCAAGTGATCCGCTCGCCTCGGCCTCCCAAGGTGCTGGGATTACAGGCATGAGCCACCACACCCGGCCTATATTAGCACTTTTGATCATTACAAGAACGGTATGAAAAGAGATTTGCTATTTCCACTCTACAGATGAGGACACTGAGGCTCGGAGAGGTTAGGAAACTAGCTCAAAATCATGCATTAGAAGGCAGCAAAGCCAAGATTTCAACCCCAGGCCAGGCAACCCCTGGACCTGTGTTGTTGACCACCGGGTACTTATAGCCCTTGAGGAATTTCTGCGACCTTCCCATGGTCTAGTGGGTGGTTGGTGTCTGAGGGAATAGCGAAAGAGAGAGGCAATGCATGGTGGATTCGTGCAGAGGACTGAAGGGAATTGGCACAGCTGGGGTTCGGCGTGGAGGTGCATGCAGAGAATTTCTTTCTGAGGAGAGAACAGGGACATCACAGAGGATGGCAGTCTGGTTGTTGGTGGAGGGATCAGGATGAGTGGCAGTAATAATTCATAATATATAATGCTTTACACTTTCTAAAACATCTGGCCGCACATGATAGCTTGTGCCTGTAATCCCAACACTTCAGGAGGCCAAGGCAGGTGAATCGCCTGAGGTCAGGAGTTCAAGACCAGCCTGGCCAAGATGGTGAAACCCCCTCTCTACTAAAAATACAAAAAATTAGCTGGGTGTGGTGGCGGGCACCTGTGGTCCCAGCTACTTGGGAGGCTGAGGCAGGAGAATCGCTTGCACCAAGGAGGCAGAGGTTACAGTGAGCTGAGACCGTGTTATTGCACTTTAGCCTGGGCAACAAGAAACTCCATCTCACAAAAAAAAAAAAAAAAAAAAAAAAGAAGAAAAAACTTCCAGGTGGATGATCTCATTTAGTTTTCTTCATAGTAATGCTGTGGGAAGGCAGGGAAAATTTGGCCCCTCTGAATGTATAAACTAAAGCTCAGAGAGGTTCAGTAACTTGCTAGTATGTGGCTCTGTTTGTAACACGTGGGACCTGGAGGGGCTAGGGAAGGCAGAAGGAACGCAGGTGAAAGAGTCATGGAGGAACCATGGGGTAAGTTGGGCCTGGGGTTTTGAGCAAAGGAAAGGAAAGATAAGGAAAGATGTGGCTCCACATCCCTGAGGGAAGTCAAGGCAGCAGAAGTCAGATGAGGGGCTGGACAGAGGCAGGTGTGCTCAGAGAGGGAAGCTGATTGTGGCCAGGAGCCTCGGAGGTTCGTGGGGTTTCGTCCTGGTTCCCTGGGCTGGGCCAGCGAGAGCAGGGCTGGCTCAGGGTGCGGTGTCCTGACACACTGGTACCAGCAGGTTCTGAAGCAACAGGTAGTGACCCCACATCCTGGCCCCCACCCAGCTTTACTGGCATGGCCAGTGCTGAGATAGGAAATAGGGTTTCCATTCCTGACCCCAGCCTGGGCTCTCACGAAGAAGCTGGTGACCAAATCTTAGTCCTCGAGTGCCCTTTCCTTTATTTCAGCCCCTCTGCCCCCAGCTTTGTCTTTTTCCAGTGTCTCCTTCTATATGTGTCTCCACTTCTCAGCCCTCCATTGTTTTGCCTTTTGTCTTCTTCCCTCTGGTCCCACTGTCTGGCCCAGGATTTTTCCCCTAAGAATTTACGCCTGGACTCCTCAGAGCCTCAGTTTCCCCAATTCTCTGTCTCTTCAGGGTCCTTTCTTTTAGACCTATTTGTTCCTGCCCCTTCTCCATTCCCTCTTCTTTTTAAAAAAAATTTTAATTAAAAAACAAAATACAGATGGGGTCTATGTTGCCCAGGCTGGTCTTGAACTCTGGGGCGCATGCAATCCTCCCACCTCAGCCTCCCAAAGTGCTGGGATTACCGGCGTGAGCCACTGTGCCCAGCCCCCTCTTATATTCAATGTATTCCTTTGAGGTCACTCACTTTGGCACGTAATTTTCTATTTTTCTGGTTGGTGTTTGCCCACCCTTCCCAAACAAAGAAATGCCTTTATTCGGCCACCTCAATATCCTTTAGAGACAATAGCCAGTTCTTCCTCCTTTCTCCATCCCTAAACTCTCCCTGCGCTCTGCTTGGGAGAAACCCGAGAGGCCGATTACTGAGATAAGGCAGAAAGGTGAGGGAGGAAGCCAAGCCTCTTTGGCCCTTACTAACCACTGCTTTCCTCCACAGGGACCTTGGCTAAGAGCATTGGCACCTTCTCAGACCCCTGTAAGGACCCCACGCGTATCACCTCCCCTAACGACCCCTGCCTCACTGGGAAGGGTGACTCCAGCGGCTTCAGTAGCTACAGTGGCTCCAGCAGTTCTGGCAGCTCCATTTCCAGTGCCAGAAGCTCTGGTGGTGGCTCCAGTGGTAGCTCCAGCGGATCCAGCATTGCCCAGGGTGGTTCTGCAGGATCTTTTAAGCCAGGAACGGGGTATTCCCAGGTCAGCTACTCCTCCGGATCTGGCTCTAGTCTACAAGGTGCATCCGGTTCCTCCCAGCTGGGGAGCAGCAGCTCTCACTCGGGAAGCAGCGGCTCTCACTCGGGAAGCAGCAGCTCTCATTCGAGCAGCAGCAGCAGCTTTCAGTTCAGCAGCAGCAGCTTCCAAGTAGGGAATGGCTCTGCTCTGCCAACCAATGACAACTCTTACCGCGGAATACTAAACCCTTCCCAGCCTGGACAAAGCTCTTCCTCTTCCCAAACCTCTGGGGTATCCAGCAGTGGCCAAAGCGTCAGCTCCAACCAGCGTCCCTGTAGTTCGGACATCCCCGACTCTCCCTGCAGTGGAGGGCCCATCGTCTCGCACTCTGGCCCCTACATCCCCAGCTCCCACTCTGTGTCAGGGGGTCAGAGGCCTGTGGTGGTGGTGGTGGACCAGCACGGTTCTGGTGCCCCTGGAGTGGTTCAAGGTCCCCCCTGTAGCAATGGTGGCCTTCCAGGCAAGCCCTGTCCCCCAATCACCTCTGTAGACAAATCCTATGGTGGCTACGAGGTGGTGGGTGGCTCCTCTGACAGTTATCTGGTTCCAGGCATGACCTACAGTAAGGGTAAAATCTATCCTGTGGGCTACTTCACCAAAGAGAACCCTGTGAAAGGCTCTCCAGGGGTCCCTTCCTTTGCAGCTGGGCCCCCCATCTCTGAGGGCAAATACTTCTCCAGCAACCCCATCATCCCCAGCCAGTCGGCAGCTTCCTCGGCCATTGCGTTCCAGCCAGTGGGGACTGGTGGGGTCCAGCTCTGTGGAGGCGGCTCCACGGGCTCCAAGGGACCCTGCTCTCCCTCCAGTTCTCGAGTCCCCAGCAGTTCTAGCATTTCCAGCAGCTCCGGTTCACCCTACCATCCCTGCGGCAGTGCTTCCCAGAGCCCCTGCTCCCCACCAGGCACCGGCTCCTTCAGCAGCAGCTCCAGTTCCCAATCGAGTGGCAAAATCATCCTTCAGCCTTGTGGCAGCAAGTCCAGCTCTTCTGGTCACCCTTGCATGTCTGTCTCCTCCTTGACACTGACTGGGGGCCCCGATGGCTCTCCCCATCCTGATCCCTCCGCTGGTGCCAAGCCCTGTGGCTCCAGCAGTGCTGGAAAGATCCCCTGCCGCTCCATCCGGGATATCCTAGCCCAAGTGAAGCCTCTGGGGCCCCAGCTAGCTGACCCTGAAGTTTTCCTACCCCAAGGAGAGTTACTCGACAGTCCATAAGTCAACTGTTGTGTGTGTGCATGCCTTGGGCACAAACAAGCACATACACTATATCCCATATGGGAGAAGGCCAGTGCCCAGGCATAGGGTTAGCTCAGTTTCCCTCCTTCCCAAAAGAGTGGTTCTGCTTTCTCTACTACCCTAAGGTTGCAGACTCTCTCTTATCACCCCTTCCTCCTTCCTCTTCTCAAAATGGTAGATTCAAAGCTCCTCTCTTGATTCTCTCCTACTGTTTAAATTCCCATTCCACCACAGTGCCCCTCAGCCAGATCACCACCCCTTACAATTCCCTCTACTGTGTTGAAATGGTCCATTGAGTAACACCCCCATCACCTTCTCAACTGGGAAACCCCTGAAATGCTCTCAGAGCACCTCTGACGCCTGAAGAAGTTATACCTTCCTCTTCCCCTTTACCAAATAAAGCAAAGTCAAACCATCATCTGGAAACAGTGGCCACTTTTCACTGACCTCTCTTCGACATCTAGTCAACCCACCCAATATGCCACTGGGCTTTCGCTCCCAATTCCACCCCACCCTCCATTACAGAGCTCACCACGCCCTCCTAGATCACCGTCCCCAACACACCCATTGCCTCTCAAGGCCCTTATCTCAGCCCCTTCCTGTGGCCATTTCCCTCAGTGCCCAGATGATTCCCTGGGTGAGGGAGACACTGGGGCACCCTCAGAGGTTGGAGCAGGCTCCCTGCTGTCCCTGGATCCTGGACAGATGGCTCAGTAAACTGTGGGGACTAGGTGCAGACTTTTTGCCTTCTTGGAGTCCTGGGTCTCCTCTGAGAGTCTGGGTGGTGCTCTTCCTACGCCTCTAGAGGTCTCTGTGTCCCTCATTTTCCTTCAAAAGCGGGCTGTGTTTCTCTTCTACCTTCCAGCTCCTCCCACAGAGGAGGAAGACAATAAATATTTGTTGAACTGAAAGCAGAGATTGCCTGGCCTCCCAGATCCTTCCGCCATTTCCCTCCTCTCTCATTGCTCCAGGAAATCCATTCTCTTCCCATTCCTCATTCACCGTGGGGTCCCCCTTCCCCTTATTTAGGGCCCTCAGTGTTTTCTCTCCCTCCCCTCCCCTCCCCTCCCCACCCAAACTCCTTTTCTTCCACCATTAGCATTCCTCACCTTCTAGATGCCATCCTCTCTGGGAGTCATGAGTCTCGATTTCCTGGGTTTCTGGGACACCTGGAAGCTTGGGAAGGCTGGGACACAACAACTCCAACCAGATTCCTGTCAGCTGAGTAGGAGGCCAGTTGGGCGTTGTTCCTGGAGCTGGGGGTGGAGAGAGTAAAGGACTGAGAGGATGGGAGCGGGGCAGGGAGTGCAGCCAAGCAGGGTGACTCACTGGCCTAGATCAAGAGGCCCAGCCTGTGGCAGAACAGAGCTGCCAGTGGTCTCTCCATCTTCACACTCCCTGCTCTGCTGGGGTCCAGAGTGAGAGTGTGAGCAACATGGCTCTCAGGTGAGGGCTGAGAAGGCAGAGTGCCCCAGTGGGAAAGAGGAGTCGCTTCCACTGGAGAAGAGAGAGAAAGTGGAGTGTGTGGTGGGGTCCATGCGACTTAAGTCCTGAGACAGGCAGGGAGAGGCTGAGGCGGACGAAGTTCCCGCATCCCAAGGAGGGCAGAGTGGATTGTGCTTGTCCCTGTAGGAGCCCCACCCCCCACCCCAGGCCACCTCTCAGAGCCTCTGCTTGGCTGCAAAGGAATTCACCCCTACTGTAGCACTTAACCCATTCCCTCCTATCAGGGTGGTGCTGTCTGGTCCTGAATTTAGAACTGTTGAAACTCCAAGTCTGGAATCAGCAAAAATGTATTACATTGACCAGAAAGGGATTGAATCACCCTTGGTCCAGCATCTGGCCCCTGATCTGCAGCCAATGGCAGGAATCGAGGTCCTCAGATGCTTCATGAATGGGAATTGCAGGGAGAGAAGGCTCTCTGATGTGGTGTTTCCTCGAGTCTCCTGCTGTGCTCCAAATTAAAAGCTTGTGTAAAACTCATGCATGTCATCCAAAAAGGCCTCTGGGCTCCATCCACTGCCAGTTCTGGAGAGGAGCTCTTCACTCCTCCAGTGGTTAAGCCAGCAGGGGCAGGTGGGGAGGACACAGCAGTAGAATCAGCCAACAGCTCATGTTTAGACCTTGGGCAGCCAGGGAAGCCTACTCCTGGGGCCTCCCGGAAGCCATGGAGAGAACAAAGCCATTGCATTTTTATAATAAAATTTGCAAACATATTTAAAAGCCAACAAACTGTTAATGAATCTCTACATTCTCATCGCCCAGCTTCAACAAGGATCAAGTCCTGGCCATTTGACAGCAGCATTTAAAGGCTCTCCTCTACTGTTACTTGGAAATAGCCACTTTCTCCCAAGGTTTCTTATACTCTGTGGCACATCTGACCACCAGTAGCAGGCAGAATGATGTCTTCAACCCCAACACCATCAAAGATGTCCACATCCTAATCCCTGGAACGTAGGAATTAGGTTACATGGCAAAGGGAAATTAAGGTTCCAGATGGGATTAAGGTTGCTATTCGGCTGACTTCACAGAGATTATCATGGATTATTCAGGTGGGTCCAGTGTAGTCACCAGGTCCCTTAATGTGGACATGGGAGGCAGAAGAGGAAGTCTGAGTGATACAGTGTAAGAAATGGCTGATTTTGGCTTTGGAGATGGAGGAAGGGGACCATGAGCCAAAGAACACAGGATGCCTCTAGAAGGTGAAAAAGCAGGGAAAGGGATTTTCCCCTGAGGCCCCCAGAAAGAATCACAGCCCTGCTGACACCTTTATTTTAATCCACTGAGACCTGTTTTAGACTTCTGATCTCCAAAACTGTAAAGTAATAAATCCATGTTGTTGTAAGCCATTCGGTTCATGGTAATTTGTCACTGCAGCAGCAGGAATTAGTCAGTATCTCATAAGGATGGCATCCAGGTCCATTTCCCTAGCTAGATCCAGGGTCTCATGTAGGAGCAGCTCCTCAGATGGGGCCACTTCTGCACCCCAGAACCTCCTGCAGGTTGGGGCCAAGGTGAAGGAGATATGAGGATGCATGAGAAAGGGGTGCTGGGAGGAAACAATCCAGCTCCCAAAAAGAAACAAGTGTTTCTGTTGCTGAGAGAGGCAATTAAGAGAGTGGGACCCCAGGGTGGAGGTCCTTGTGTATAGAGAAGCAGGGCTGGGGAGGCTGGCAACCAGGGATGAGCTGTGAGCCAGGACACCTGGGCCAAGAAGGGGCAGGGAGGTCAAGGAAAGGAGCCAGGGCGGGAGACACCCAGCTTCCTCTGGGACATTCATTCAAGTGACACCTGTTGCCACAGACCACATTAGGAATGAGGGTGGAATGTGGAGGTTTATTGTCTTCACAACCACTAGCCCAGCCTGTTTCTGCTGTCCCCCACCCCACTACCAGGATAAAGGGCTGGCTGTCTTGGGGCTGAGGGAGATCGGGTGCTGAGCAGGATGCAGGGCCGCGTGGCAGGGAGCTGCGCTCCTCTGGGCCTGCTCCTGGTCTGTCTTCATCTCCCAGGTATGGAGGCCGTGATGCCCTTGGGCAGGAGGGACTGGAGGTCCCCCAGGAAACAGGAATTAAGGAAAGGGGTAAAGGCAGGAGGGTACACATTTAGGTCCCTGAGGGAAAAGGAAGAATAGGCATAGGGGAAGCAAAGGGAACTGGGGACTCGGGGACTGGAGACCACTGGTTGCTTTATCTTCCCTTTCCCTCAGGCCTCTTTGCCCGGAGCATCGGTGTTGTGGAGGAGAAAGTTTCCCAAAACTTGGGGACCAACTTGCCTCAGCTCGGACAACCTTCCTCCACTGGCCCCTCTAACTCTGAACATCCGCAGCCCGCTCTGGACCCTAGGTCTAATGACTTGGCAAGGGTTCCTCTGAAGCTCAGCGTGCCTGCATCAGATGGCTTCCCACCTGCAGGAGGTTCTGCAGTGCAGAGGTGGCCTCCATCGTGGGGGCTGCCTGCCATGGATTCCTGGCCCCCTGAGGATCCTTGGCAGATGATGGCTGCTGCGGCTGAGGACCGCCTGGGGGAAGCGCTGCCTGAAGAACTCTCTTACCTCTCCAGTGCTGCGGCCCTCGCTCCGGGCAGTGGCCCTTTGCCTGGGGAGTCTTCTCCCGATGCCACAGGCCTCTCACCCAAGGCTTCACTCCTCCACCAGGACTCGGAGTCCAGACGACTGCCCCGTTCTAATTCACTGGGAGCCGGGGGAAAAATCCTTTCCCAACGCCCTCCCTGGTCTCTCATCCACAGGGTTCTGCCTGATCACCCCTGGGGTACCCTGAATCCCAGTGTGTCCTGGGGAGGTGGAGGCCCTGGGACTGGTTGGGGAACGAGGCCCATGCCACACCCTGAGGGAATCTGGGGTATCAATAATCAACCCCCAGGTACCAGCTGGGGAAATATTAATCGGTATCCAGGAGGCAGCTGGGGAAATATTAATCGGTATCCAGGAGGCAGCTGGGGGAATATTAATCGGTATCCAGGAGGCAGCTGGGGGAATATTCATCTATACCCAGGTATCAATAACCCATTTCCTCCTGGAGTCCTCCGCCCTCCTGGCTCTTCTTGGAACATCCCAGCTGGCTTCCCTAATCCTCCAAGCCCTAGGTTGCAGTGGGGCTAGAGCACGATAGAGGGAAACCCAACATTGGGAGTTAGAGTCCTGCTCCCGCCCCTTGCTGTGTGGGCTCAATCCAGGCCCTGTCAGCATGTTTCCAGCACTATCCCCACTTTTCAGTGCCTCCCCTGCTCATCTCCAATAAAATAAAAGCACTTATGGAATTTGCTTCTCCTTGGTTTCTTTGTTTCTGGGCATAAGCTGAAGTGAGTCTGGGCATAAGCTGAAGTGAGTCTGTTCATTCCTGTTTTCTAGCCATCCCCACGGCCCTCTAGGGGCCCCTGCAGACGCTGTCTTGCTATCCCCATCCTTCACAAAGGATCAGTGCCCAAGTGCTTGAGGGTGGAGCCTCAGTCTCACCCCGGCCAGGTGGGAGAGCTGTTCCAGAATTGTGCTGGAATCTGAAAGGGGGAGGAGGGACAGCAGGACTAATTGAGATGGCACCTGCAGCAGGGGGCAAGGATGAGGTCCCAGAAGGCGGCTCCAGGGCCAGGTGGACAGGATTCCTTGCAACTCACAGAAACAGGAAGCCAAAAGTCGCAATGTCTACGCTTCACTTGTCTTTTCTTCCCCGGAAAGTCAAGCTTCTTGGAAGTGGAGGTACATCGACCTCCTCCCTTACAGGCATCATTTAGCACATTGTGTCCCACAGAACCACAGACTTTGAAGAGTTGCTGAGTAAATAGCAGACCTCGATAAAGGAAAAGAGAAAAGGGAGAAAGGAAAGGGAGAAAAAAACCTTGAAGCCAACAATCCCACCTGGGGTGGCATTTGATGCTTTCATTCCCAAGTGATGACACAGTCTCAGCCTTTGGTCACAGTATTGTCTCTCCTGCCCTCCCTTCGGTTTTCCCAGGAGCTCAACATCCTCACACAGGAGTTGGAGTGACGGCAGCGAAGGGTCAGGCTACAAAAGCACGGAAGAATCAGCAGGTGTGGGTTGGAGGTGATTTGGGTCTGGATTCTCTCTTCCCTGTGCCATGCCTGCAGTGGTCCAGGTGTATGTACTCTCCATCCAGTCAGGTCCCTGGGAGTTGGGCAGCTTGTGGGAGGGGAGAAAGGAGTAGGAAAAACACCAGAACTCAAGGGGTAGGGAGCTGCCTGCCTGCCTGCCTGAGTGGCAGATGGGCATTTCTGGAGAAGATGCCCGGTCCCAGCGTCTGCCATAAGGCTCCATCCTACACTGAGAAGTCCTTCCTGGAACACCTTCCTCAGAGCCCACCTTTCCCATCACCAAGCACACTCCCTTCGTCAACACCTCAACCTCCTCACCTGATTCTTTTCCCAGCTTGGACTCTCTTGGTTTCTCCCTGCCCTAGGGCAAGGGGTTCCATGCCTGTTTTCAGCACCTGCCTCTTCCACCAGCCCAAGGTCATTCTATCAAGCCTGGAGTCTCATTTCTCTCTGTCCCTCTTCCTGGTGGCCTCTTCTGCATAGTCATTCCTATTCGCACATTTAAATTTGGTGTCAACAGTCCCCTGCTCTGTTCCACAGACTCACTAGAGCATAAGCACCACGAGGACAGGGGCTTTGTCTCTTTAGTTCACTGCTGCACCCCCAGCACAAAGAACAGGGTCTGGACCAGGGCAGGCACTCAGCAGGCACGAAGGAATGGCTGATCCTCTCTCTCTGTCCCTCCCCCTCTCTCATCATCTCTCTTCTTCCACTCAATTCCTGAGCCATGCGGCTACACCCAGAGTCTAATCTACACTCCGGCTGTAGCCCTCCCAGAGCCTCACTGACATTTTTCAACAACCTCATGAAGCCCTTCTCAGCATTAAAATGCTCTGTGCGTTTCATCATTTAACCTTCATTATTCTCTGTGAGGAAGGCATTATAAGATTTTTGCGGCCAGGCACGGTGGCTCACACCTGTAATCCCAGCACTTTGGGAGAACGAGGCAGGCGGATCACCTGAGGAGTTCGAGACAGCCTAGTCCAACATGGGGAACATGGTGAAACCTCATCTCTACTAAAAACACAAAAATTAGCCAGGCATGGTGCCTGTAATGCCAGCTACTTAGGAGGCTGAGGCTGGAGAATCGCTTGAACCCGGGAGTTGGAGGTTGTAGTGAGCCGAGATCGCGCCACTGCACTCCAGCCTGGGTGACAGAGCGAGACTCCGTCTCAAAAAAAAAAAAAGATTTTTACAGATGGAGGAACTGAGATTTAGAGGGATTAAGCAAGTCACACAGGGTTACAAGTGACAGGGGTGGTGACTCAAACCTCATTTTTCTCATTATCTGTCCAGGGAGTATTCAAGTACAATATGCAATTAACAGAAATAACAACGAACTTTTATTATATTTACATATAGGCCAGGTCCTGGACAAGGGGCTTGCACACACACCCTTCCAGCAAATCCTCACAACAACCCCATTGGGTGGGCACTGCGGGGCATACTGCACAGGGAAGACACTGAGGCCCAGAGAGGATGGGGAGCTGAGGCTCACACACAGGCAACACTGAGCCAGGGCAGTGAAGTTCATCTGATGCTTGGTGCTGATGGCTCAGGGAAGATGGACTTTAACAGTGGAGGGTCCCAGGGGGATGTGGCCAGTCCCCTCAGGGTGGTCTTTGGATTAACGTTAGTTGTTGCTTAAAAAATGGTGGAACTGGGCATGGTGGCTCATGTCTGTAATTTCAGCACTTTGGGAGCTGAGGCAGGAGGATTACTTGAGCCCAGGAATTCTAGACCAGCCTGGGCAACATAGGGAGACCTCATCTCTACAAATAGTAATTAAAAAATTAGCTTGAGCACTTAAAAAAAAAATTAAGAGTAGGCCGGGCATGGTGGCTCACACCTGTAATCCCAACACTTTGGGAGGCCAAGGCAGGTGGAGACCAGCCTGGCCAATGTGGTGAAACCCCATCTCTACTAAAAATACAAAAATTAGCCAGGCATGGTGTTGCACGCCTGTAATCCCAGCTAGAGGGAAGGCTGAGGTATAAGAATTGCTTGAACTTGGGAGATGGAGGTTGCAGTGAGCTGAGATTGTGCCACTGCACTCCAGCCTGGGCAACAGAGTGAGACTCTGTCTCAAAAAAAAAATCATCATCATAAGAGCAAAAATAAACTTTAAAAAAAATAAAATATTAGCTTGGCATGGTGTTATGCCTGTGGTACCAGCTACTTGGGAGGCTGAGGTGGGAGGATCACCCGAGCCTGGGAGGTTGAGGCTGCAGTGAGCCATGATCATTCCACTGCACTCTAGCCTGGGTGACAGGGCAAGACTAAAAAGGAAAAAAAAAGAAAAGAAAAGAAAGGCGGCTTACACCTGTAATCCCAGCACTTTGGGAGGCTAAGGAGGGTGGATCACCTGAGATTAGGAGTTCAAGACCAGCCTGGCCAACATGGTGCTACCCTGTCTCTACTAAAAATAAAAAGTTAGCCAGGTGTGGTGGTGGGCGCCTGTAATCCCAGCTACTCGGGAGACTGAGGTAGGAGAATCGCTTGAACCTGGGAGGTAGAGGTTGCAGTGAGCTGAGATTGCACCATTGCACTCCAGCCTAGGTGACAAGAGGGAAACTCCATCTCAGAAAAACAACAACAACAACAAAAACAACACCCAAAAACCAAACAACAACAACTACAACAAAAAGAGAGGGAATGTCTTCAGTAATCTGTGATATGAGAAAGGTCCTAATGTTTGCAACAGGGACTACTGCTGGCATACTGATTTTTACATTTTTATTAGTGGTTAATTAGTGGAAGTGGTGGCTGGAGTAGCAAGAGTCATTCATTTCTCCTATCCTAGGAGGGCGCTTATCCAGAAGTTAGGAAACAGAAGTTCCCCTTCTGCCACACAACTTTCTGTGCCAGGTCACCTTAGGCAAGTCATTGACCTCTGTGGACCTTCGTTTTCTCATCTGTAACATGGGATGAAAGCAGATGTCCAGCCTCCCTCACAGGATTATTAGGAAGTTTAGGTAAGATAATGATAAGGTGCCTTAGAGACTGGAAAACCCTGAGCCATCGTAAGGGATAGATCCTAATGCAGTGCGTTGTCCCAGTGAGGCAGTCCTGGCAGGACCACAGGATAGTTCTTCGTCCCACAGAGGAGGGCTGGTCTGGTGCAGAGGCTGTAGTTGACATCACAGTCGATTGATAAGTTGATGTGATGCTTTGCACTGGGAGTTACACTTGAGAGAATGACTCTAAGATCAAGAGGAAGAGTTGAGTTGGCTTCTCATTTAAATATTTCATCCCTCAAACAAACAGCATTCACTTAGCCATTTGTCAGTAAAAAAGACATTTTTCACTTACACACACACTGTTGGGTGATAATAATAATAGTTTCCTTTATGTATTTACCATGAACTAAATGTTACAAGATTACTTCAGTTCTTAGAATTCTATGATGTGTATGACGTGCTTACTCTTTTGTTTGTTTGTTTGTTTGTAGAGATGGGGGTCTCGCTTGTTGCCCAGGTTGGTCTTGAACTCCTGGCCTCAAGTGATCCTCCTGCCTCGGCCTTCCAAAGTGCTGGGATTACAGGTATGAGCCACCATGACCAGCCTAAAGTGAATTAATGTTTGATTCTCTGGCTAGACAAGCCCCACTGTGGAAAGGTGGTAGCAACAAGTTGTGAAATAATTTTGAGACCATTTAGTTCTTCTTGGCCTCAGGATGGCAGTTGTGACTGATGCAGCAGGTGTTTTTTTTTTCTCTTTCTTTCTTTCTTTTTTTTTTTTTTTTTCTTGAGACGGAGTCTCGCTCTGTTGCCAGGCTGGAGTGCAGTGGCGTGATCTCTGCTTACCACAACCTCCGACTCCCTGGTTCAAGCGATTCCCCTGCCTCAGCCTCCCGAGTAGCTGGGATTACAGGCATGTGCCACCATCCCCAGCTAATTTTTGTATTTTTCAGTAGAGACGGGGTTTCCCCATGTTGGCCAGGATGGTCTGATCTCCTGACCTCGTGATCCGCCCGCCTCAGCCTCCCAAAGTGCTGGGATTACACGCGTGAGCCACCCCGCCCGGCCAGAGGGTTGTTTCTTTAGCACCTCTTCCTCTGTCCCTCCTTTCTCTGAATCCCGTACTTAAATCACTCCCTGGCTACTCAGGACCATAATCCCTCTTGACTCACCCAGTCAAAACTCACTTCTCTTGAGTCTCTCTGTCCACTGTGACATTTTCATATGATGAATTCAGGAGAACTAACTCTGTTCATGATTAATAGGTGCAAAGATGATGAGTCTAGGAAGATAAAATCTATCTGGTATGTTAGTGGCCCCTTAAACATCTGTCACCAGCCTTCAAGTTCAGGTGCCCCTCTCTTTTCCTGGGACACCCTCTCAGTGTCTAAATGTCATTAAGGTATTTCTACTTAATGTAATTTTGTTTCTCTTATGAATTTATTAAACAAATAGCATTTAAGCATTAAATAATATTCTTCTATTTATACACTATGTACACAACTAATACATAGACATTTATGGATTTAATAATCCAAACTGATTAAAACACATTATTGATTTTATTTATTTATTTATTTATTTATTTATTTATTTATTTATTTTTTTGAGACGGAGTCTTCTCTGTCACCCAGGCTGGAGTGCAGTGGCGTGATCTCGGCTCACTGCAACCTCTGCCTCCCAGGTTCACGCCATTCTCCTGCCTCAGCCTCCTGAGTAGCTGGGACTACAGGTGCCCACCACCACGCTTGGCTAATTTTTCTGTATTTTTAGTAGAGATGGGGTTTCACCGTGTTAGCCAGGATGGTCTCGATCTCCTGACCTTGTGATCCACCCACCTCAGCCTCCCAAAGTGCTGGGATTACAGGCGTGAGCCACTGCGCCCGGCCTAAATATTGATTTTAGACTTAAACTCATTTAAGCATTTAATTAAAATCTTTCATTTAGCTGGGCACAGTGGCTCATACCTGTAATCCCAGCACTTTAGGAGGCCGAGGCGGGTGGATCACCTGAGGTCAGGAGTTCGAGAACAGGCTGACCAACATGGTGAAACCCTGTCTCTACTAAAAATATACAAATTAGCTGGGCATGGTGGCAAGCGCCTATAATCCCAGCTACTCAGGAGACTGAGGCAGCAGAATCGCTTGAACCCAGGAGGCAGAGGTTGCAGTGAGCCGAAATCGCGCCATTGCACTCCAGCCTGGGTGACAAGAGCAAGACTCCATCTTAAAAAAAAAAAAAAAATCTTGCATTTAATACATAGGATTCTCTTAAATGTCTGAAACCCCCTAAGAAGCAAATGCGTTTTTTTTTTTGAGATGGATTTTCGCTCTTGTTGCCCAGGCTGTAGTGCAATGGCGCGATGTCTGCTCACTGCAACCTCTGCCTTCCGGGTTCAAGCAATTCTCCTGCCTCAGCCTCCCAAGTAGCAGGGATTACAGGTGTGCACTACCATGCCCGGCTAATTTTTTATTTTTAGTAGAGATGGGGTTTCACCATGTTGGTCAGGCTGGTTTTGAACTCCTGACCACAGGTCATCCACCCACCTTGGCCTCCCAAACTGCTGAGATTACAGGTGTGAGCCACTGCACCCGGCCTACGAATGCAATTATTATTATTATTTTATTTTTATTTTTTGGAGACAGAGTCTTCCTCTATCACCCAGGCTGAAGTGGAGTGGCACCATCAGGGCTCACTGCAGCCTCAACCTCCTGAGCCCAAGGAGTCCTCCCACCTCAGCCTTCCAAGTAGCTGGGACAACAGGCCTGCACCACTGCACCTGGGTAATTTTTAAATTTTTATAGAGATGGGGTCCCACTATGTTGCTCAGACTGATCTTGAACTCCTGGCCTCAAATGATCCTCCCACCTCAGCCTCCTAAAGTGCTGGGATTACAGGCATGAGCCACTGTGCCCAGCCTGGAACACTAACTTTTAACAACTATCTGCACACAGAGAAGCATCATCACAAGAACCAAAAATCAGGTGAGCAATCACAGTAACTGGATTTAACTTCATATCACTAAAGGAAACATTGAGGAGGGCAGGAGAGACAGTCTTGAATTGTGACGCCCCTTCCGTCCTCCCTGGCAGTGTCCCTGCAGCGTGGAAAGAGAGTCTTTGCATTTTGGGGAGGGAGGGCATGGGGTGGGGGACTTTATATTGAACTCACTGCTGCACTGTCATAGCGGAGAGCAAAGTCATGCTGGGATCGACCGGCACCTGCATGTGGAGGGGGGCATCTGGGCCAGCCCTAGCCAGAGGGAAATCACCTGTCCCAGTGGTTGGAACTTGAGTTTCTCTGCAAGCCTCACCACCATGGGCCAAAGTGCTCTGGTGTCCTAGGTAAACTTGAAAGGCAGTCTAGGCTGGATGCGGTGGCTCACACCTATAATCCCAGCACTTGGGGAAGCTGAGGCAGGAGGGACACTTGAGCCCAGGAGTCTGAGACCAGCCTGGGCAACATAAGGAGGCCATATTTCCACAAAAGAAAAAAAAGAAAAGGCAGTCTAGGACCCAAGGACTGCAATTCCTAGACAACTCCTAGTGCTCGGCTGGACTTACAGCCAATGGACTAGGGTTGCACTTGACCTAGGTAGACACCAGCCGGTATGGCTAAGGGAGGGCTTGTGCCACCCCTTCTCCAATCCCAGGCAGTGCAGCTCCTAGCAACGAAAGTGACTCCTTCCCTCTGCTTAAGGAGAGATGAGCAACGGGTAAAGAGGACTTGGTCTTGCATCTTGGATACCAGCTCAGCCACAGTAGGATAGGGCACTGGGCCAAGTCATGAGGCCCCCATTCCAGGCCCAACTCCCAGATGTCATTTTTAGATACCTGGGCCAAAAGGGAAGCTGCTGCCTTGAAGAGAAGGGCCCAGTACTTGCAGGATTCATCACCTGCTGACTAAAGAGCCCCTGGGCCCTGCATAACTAGCAGCAATAACCAGGTAGTACACTGTGGGCCTTGGGTGAGACTCTGAGACATGCTGTCTTCAGCAGTAACCCAGCACATTCCCAGCTATGGTGGCTATGGTGAAAGACTCCTGCAGTTTGAGAAAAGCAGAGGGAAAAGTAAAGGGGACTTTGTCTTGTACCTTAGGCACCAGCTCAACCATGGTAGGGCAGAGCAACAAGCAGTCTCTTGGAGTCCCCAAATCTAGGTGTAGATTCTGTCCTGGACCTGCCCCTCTGGCTCATGGCAGGTCCAGAGGGGAGCCTGCTGCCCTGAAAGGTAAGTCCCAGGCTTGGCAACATTCACCACAAGCTGATGGAAGAGTTCTTGGGCTTTAATTTTTATTTTTATTTTTTCGAGACGGAGTCTTGCTGTCACCCTGACTGGAGTGCAGTTGTACCATCTGGGCTCACTGTAACCTCCGTCTCCTGGGTTCAAGAGGTTCTCCTGCCTCAGCCTCCCAAGAAGCTGAGCTTACAGGCACCCACCACCACACCTGGCTAATTTTTGTATTTTTAGTAGAGACAGTGTTTCACCATGTTGGTCAGGCTGGTCTTGACCTCCTGACCTCAAGTGATCCACCTGCCTCGGCCTCCCAAAGTGCTGGGATTACAGGCGTGAGCCACCACAGCCGGCCACCTTTGGGCTTTAAGTGAACATTGGTGGTGGACTGGCAGAATTGCTGTGGACTGGTGGTGGTGGTTGCCATAGGGAGAGGCTCCTCTGCCTAAGGAAAGGGGAGGGATGAGTGGGAGGGACTTTGTATTGTGGTGTCAGCGCCCGCTTAGCCACAGTAGAACAGAACATCAGGTAAATTACCAAAGTTTTTGACTCCAATCCCTGGCTCCCAGACAGCATCTCTGGAGAAGCTCTTAGCCTAGAGGAACTTGTTGCCCTGAAGGGAAGGCCCTGGCAAAGACCCAGTGCTGTGCTGGCTTCAGATCTGACCCAGTGCAGTCCCAGTGACGGCCACAGGGGTGCTTGTGTCACCACACCCCCAGCTCCAGGTGGCTCAGCAAGAGAGAGAGAGACTGTATGTTTGGGAGAAAGTAAGCAAAAAGAACAAGAGTCTATGCCTGATAATCCAGAAAATTCTTCCAGCTCTTATCCAAGACCACCAAGGCAGTACTTCTAAGAGTCTGCAAAACCACAGCATTATTGGGTTTCCCAAGAAGGACAGGCACAAACAAGCCCAGGGCTGTGAAGGCTACAATAAATACCTAACTCTTCAATGCCCAGATACCGACAAACGCCTATAAGCATCAATACCATCATGACCTCATCAAATGAACTAGATAGGCTATCAGGGACCAATCCTGGAGAAAAAGAGATATATGATCTTTCAGATAGATCATTCAAAATAGATGTTTTGAGGAAACTAAAAGAAATTCAAGGGCCGGGTACGGTGGCTCATGCCTGAAATCCCAGCACTTTGGGAGGCTGAGGAGGGCGGATCGCGAGATCGGGATCGAGACCATCCTGGCTAACATGGTGAAACCCCATTTCTACTAAAAATACAAAAAATTAGCTGGGCGTGGTGGCACGTGCCTGCAGTCCCAGCTACTCAGGAGGCTGAGGCAGGAGAATCGCTTGAACCCAGGAGGCAGGGGTTGCAGTGAGCCGAGATCACGCTACCGCACTCCAGCTTGGGTGACAGAGTGAGACTCCATCTCCAAAAAAAAAAAATTAAGATAGCATAGAGAAAGAATTCAGAATTCTATCAGATAAATTTAACAAGGAGAATGAAATAATTAAAAAGAATCAGGCAGAAATTCAATAGTTGAAAAATACAATGGACATGCTGAAGAATGTACGACTCTTTTGAAAATTTTTTTGAAAATTTTTTTTCTTTTTCCTTTTTCCTTTTCTTTCTTTCTTTTTTTTTTTGTGGGGGGGACAGAGTCTTACTCTGTTACCCAGGCTGGAGTGCAGTGGCACAATTTCAGTTCACTGCAACCTCCGTCTCCTGGGTTCGAGAGGTTCTCCTGCCTCCGCCTCCCGAGTAGCTGGGATTACAGATGCCCACCACCACGCCTGGCTAATTTTTGTATTTTTAGTAGAGATAGGGTTTTGTTGTGTTGGCCAGGCTGGTTTCGAACTCCTGATCTCAGTTGATCCGCCTGCCTTGGCCTTTCAAAGTGCTTGGATTTCAGGTGTGACCCACTGTGCCCAGCCTTTTTAAAATTTTATTTATTTTAATCTTTCAGAAAAGACAGAATCTCTGAATTGTAGAATTAATCAAGCAGAAGAATTAGTGAGCCTGAAGACAGGCTCCTTGAAAATACAGAGTCAGAGGAGACAAAAGAAAAAATAATAAAAAACAATGAAGCATGCCTACGAGATCTAGAAAACAGCCTCAAAAGGGCAAATCTAAGAGTTATTGGCTTTAAAGAGGAGGTACAGAAGACATAGAGATAGAAAGTTTATTCAGAGAAATAACAGAATTTCCCAAACCTATGGAAAGATATCAACATTCAAATAAAAGAAGGTTATAGAATGCCAGGCAGATTAAACTCAAAGACTACCTCAAGGCATTTAATGATCAAACTCCCAAAGCGTCAATAAGTCTGGCAGCAGATTTTTCAGTGGAAGCCTTACAGGCCAGGAGACAGTGGCATGACATATTTCAAGTGCTGAAGGAAAAAAACTTTTACCCTACAATAGTATATCCAGTGAAAATATCCTTCAAGCATAAAGGAGAAATAAAGACTTTTCCAGACAAACAAAAGCTGAGGGATTTCATCAACACCAGACCTGTCTGACAAGAAATGCTAAAGGGAGCTCTTTAATCTGAAAGAAAAGGATGTTAATGAATGAGAATAAATCTCATTACAAAACTCACTGGTAATAGCAAGTATACAGAAAAACACAGAATAGTATAATAATTTAATGGTGGTAGGTAAACTACTCCTGTCTTAAAGTAGAAAGACTAAATGATGAACCAATAGAAAATAATAACTATAGTTTACTGCAGCACTGTTCATAATAGCCAAGATTTGGAAGCAACTAAAGTGTCCATCAACAGATGAATGGATAAAGAAAATGTACATATACATAATGGAGTACTATTCAGCCATAAAAAGAATGGTATCTTGTCATTTGCAACAATATGGATGGAATTGGAGGTCATTATGTTAGATGAAATAAGCCAGGCATAGAAAGACAAACATCACATGTTCTCACTTATTTGTGGGATCTAAAATCAAAACAATTGAACTCATGGACAGAGACAGTAGAAGGATGGTTACCAAAGGCTGGGAAGAGTAGAGCTATGGGGGACACGTGGGGATGGTTAATGGGACAAAAAAAATAGTTAGAAAGCATGAATAAGACCTGGTATTTGATAGCACAACAGGAGGACTACAGTCAATAATAACTTTTTTTTTCTTTTTTTTCGGATGGAATCTCCCTCTGTTGCCCAGGCTGGAGTATAGTGGCACCTTCTCAGCTTACTGCAGCCTCCACCTCCTGGGCTCCAGTGATTCTCCTGCCTCAGCCTCCCGGGTAGCTGGGATTACAGGCATGCACCAACACCCCTGGCTAATTTTTGTATTTTTTGGAATGATGGGGTTTCACCATGTTGGCCAGGCTAGTCTCAAACTCCGGACCTCAGGTGATCCGCCCGCCTCGGCCTCTCAAAGTGTTAGGAGTATAGGCATGAGCCACTGCGCCCAGCTGATAATAACTTAATTGTACATTTAAAAATAACTACAAGAGTATAATTGCATTGTTTGTAACACAAAGGATAAATACTTGAAAGGATGGATACCCAATTTTCCATGATGTGATTATGACACACTGCATGCCTGCACCAAAATATCTCATGTACCCCATAAACATATATACCTACAACGTACACACAAAATTAAAAAATCATTAATAAAATAATAAAATGAGGCCGGGCGTGGTGGCTCACTCCTGTAATCCCAGCACTTTGGGAGGCTGAGGCAGGCGGATCACCTGAGGTTGGGAGTTCAAGACCAGTCTGACCAACATGCAGAAACCCCATCTCTACTAAAAATACAAAATTAGCCGGGCGTGGTGGTGCATGCCTATAGTCCCAGCTACTTGGGAGGCTGAGGCAGGAGAATTGCTTGAAGCCAGGAGGCGGAAGGTTGCGGTGAGCCAAGATTGTGCCATTGCACTCCAGCCTGGGCGACAAGAGAGAAACTCTGTCTCAAAATAAATAAATAAATAAATAAATAAATAATAATAAAATGAAATAAAAATAAATAAATGTACAAAACCAGGGAGTAGTTTTTAGTATACTCATGGAGTTACAAAACCAACACCATAATCAATTTCAGAACATTTTCATCAACCCCAAAAGAAAGCCCAAACCCATGAGCAGTCACTCCCAATCTCCTAACCCTCCCCTACTCCACCCCAGCCCTAAGCAGCCACTCATCTACTTTTTGTCTCTAAGGACTTACCTATTCTGTACATTTC
This sequence comes from Homo sapiens, assembly GCF_000001405.40. NCBI lineage: Eukaryota > Metazoa > Chordata > Mammalia > Primates > Hominidae > Homo > Homo sapiens. The sequence continues at coordinate 2,443,190 of NT_167247.2, read as the reverse complement.
ATATAAATGGAATAATACAACATGGTGTCGTTTTGACTGGCTTCTTTCATTTAGCACAATGTGTTCAAGGTTCATCCATGTTGTAGCACATATCAGTACTTTATTTCTTTTTATTTTCAAATTCATTTTTATTCTAGCGTATGGCTGTATATATCACATTTTATTTTCCATTCATCCGTTGAGGGACATTTAGGCCATTTCCATTTTTTATTGTTGTTGTTGTTGTCGTTGTTGTTTGGCTATTATGAATAATGCTGCTATGAACATTTGTGAACAAGTTCTTGTGTAGACATAGATTTTCATTTTTCTGGGCTATAAACCTAGAAGTAGGATTGCTGAGTCATACAGTAACTCCATGTTCAACCTTTGGAGGAATGGTCAGACTATTTTCCAAAGTGCTGTACCATTTCACTGTCCAACAGCTGTGCATGAGAGTGCCAATTTTTCCACACCCTTGCCAACACTTATTATCTCTCTTTTTACTATAGCCAGCCTAGTGGGTGTGAAATTATATCTCACTGAGGAATATAACTGCTTTTAGTTAGGTACACATCTTTTACATAAATTTTAGAATTTTGCGGGCCAAGCACGGTGGCTCACACCTGTAATCCCAGCACTTTGGTAGGCTGAGGAGAATGGATCACCTGAGGTCAGGAGTTCAAGACCAGTCCGGCCAACATGGCAAAACCCTGTCTCTACTGAAAAAACAAAAATTAGCCGGGCGTGGTGGCACATGCCTGTAATCCCAGCTAGTCGGAAGGTTGAGGCATGAGAATCGCTTGAACCCAGGAGGCGGAGGTTGCAGTGAGCCGAGATCACTCCATTGCACTCCAACCTGGGTGACAGAGCGAGACTTCGTATCAAAAAACAAAAACAAAAAAACAAACAAGAATCTCACAACATATTTTCTCCCCCTAATATAACACACTTCAATAATCTCTTGACCATTATTACATAATGAATTTTTCTCTCATTATGATATACTGACTTGATCTGTTAGCAGTATTAAATCTTATGCATATCTTATTTGTATTTTATTATAACTAGTAGGGCAATTTAAATATTCAATATTCTAGAAGATGAAGAATTGGGTTGACTTGGTTAGCTCTTCTTTTTAGTGATATTTTTGGTTAATTTATTGTCTTGGTACCTACTATTGAAACTCCCTTCTCTTTCATTATTGCCTCTGACATCATCTCATGTCAGACGTTCTTATTTCTGCTAACATTCATACTTACAGCAGGGCTGTTACTGGCGGTGAATCCGTAGGTGTCTGCAGCAACCTCAATTCTTACCTCCTCAGAAGAAAGAATTTGACTGAGGGGCATAAGGCAGGAGACAACGAGGCAAGTTTTAGAGCAGGAGTGAAAGTTTATTAAAAGGCTTTAGAGCAGGAAGGAAAGTACATTTGGAAGAGGGCCAAGTGGACGACTTTAGAGATCAAGTATGTGGTTTGATCTTTTGACTTGGGTCTTTTTTTGTTTGTTTTTTGTTTTTTTTTTTTTTGAGATGGAGTCTCTCCCTGTCACCCAGGCTGGAGTACAGTGGTGCAATCTTGGCTCACTGCAACCTCCGCCTCCCGGGTTCAAGCGATTCTCCTGCCTCAGCCTCCCAAGTAGCTGGGATTACAGGTGTGCACCACCAAGCCTGGCTAATTTTTGTATTTTTAGTAGAGACGGGGTTTCACCATGTTGGCCAGGCTGATCTCAAACTCCTAATCTCAGGTGATCTGCCCACCTTGGCCTCCCAAAGTGCTGGGATTACAGGTGTGCCACTGCACCCGGCCTGACTTGAGGTTTTATACATTGCATGCTTCGGGGGTCTTGGTGTTCCTTCTCCCTTGATTCTTCCCTTGGGCTGGGCTGTCCATATGTGCAGTGGTCTGCTAGCCCTTGGAAAGGGCGGCATGCACAGTGTGTTTACTGGAGTTGTACGCATGCTCACTTGAGGCGTTCTTCCCTTGCCAGTCTAAAATTCGTAGAGGAAGGACATACACCAGTTAAACTCCACAGTTTTGCCTCTTAGTGAGCATGCTTGAGTCCACTCGCCCAACTCCTGAGATCTTATCAGGAAGCTGCTGATCACCAGTTTCAGGTTTTTTCTATCTATTGGGATCTGCCTGTCCCTGGCGCCAGCTGCTACCAGTTATTATTTTAGAGAAACAGTTAATAACCGCCTGGCCATCACCTGATGCTCGCCTGGCATTCCTGGTGGGTGTGTGTGGTAGGAAGCCCTCTCCTGCTCTGCTCGTGCCTGACTAGCTGCCTACTATAACAGGGCTACTTGGCTTTCTCAGCATTCTCTGTGGGTTTTCTGCTTACACAGACAAAAGCAAGCACCTATCTTTGCTTTATAAACAGACACATAATTAATAGAAGAGACAAAATGAATAGTTCCCTTTTTATTAAAATAAAATTTTAAAACTCAATTCTTCTCTATTACAGTCATCTTTTGTGCCCTTTATGTGAATTTTTATCTGTTATTATCGTGATTTCATGGCCTGCCACAGATTCAATTTACTTCAATTAACCATAATTATCATTCCTCCCCCCATCTTCTTTCTTTCATGCCCGACTGTCAACTTGAACAATGGGAGCTCTTTGAAATTGGCTCCTTTGTCTTTTTAAGCACTGTCCTTGACTTACTTTCCTTCCTTCCTTCCCTCCTTCCTTCCTTCTTTCCTTCCTTCCTTCTCTCTCTCTCTCTTTCTTTCTTTTCTTTCTTTTTTGCGACAGGGTCTCACTGTTGCCCAGGTTGGAGTGGCACAGTCACAGCTCACTGCAGTCTTGACCTTCCCAGCATCAGATGATCCTCCCATTTCAGCCTCCCACATAGCTGGGACTACAGGCATGCATCACCATGCCCAGCTACTTTTTGTATTTTTTGTAGAGATGGGGTTTCGCCACGTTGCCCAGGCTGGTCTTGAACCCCTCTGCTCAAGTGATCTGTCCGTCTTGGCCTCCCAAAGTGCTGGGATTACAGGCATGAGCCACGTGCCCAGCCTGTCCTTCACATTCTTGAAGTCATCCTTGCTCTATGGCAACAACAGAACATTCAAGTCCTGTCCTGATTCTTTCCTTCTCTGAGACATGGAATCAGTTGTCACCTAAGCCTTGCATTCTAAGGGGTCCTAGTTTCTATAAATGAAAAACAGTATTTGAAACCAAAGGCTAGGTCCTGGGGTTCCACATGACAGCTAGTGACAAAACTACTACCTCCTCTGTTGGCCACTTTTTTGTTTGTTTGTTTGTTAGTTTGAGACAGAGTCTTGCTGTGTTGCCAGGCTGGAGTGCAGTGGTGCCATCTTGGCTTAGTGCAACCTCAACCTCCCAGGCTCAAGCAATCCTCCCACCTCAGCCTCCCAAGTAGCTAGGACTACAAGTGCACCACCATGCCTGGCTAATTTTTTTTTTTTTTTTTTTAAATAGAGACAGGGTTTCGCCATGTTGCCCAGGCTGGTCTCAAACTCCTGGGCTGAAGCCATCTGCCCATCTCAGCCTCCCAAAATGCTGGGATTACAAGTGTGATCCACTGTGCCTGGCCCATAGTTGGCCACTTTTTAAGATAGACGTTAATGTCAAATTTGCTAACTTAACATGCTGTTTGTTGTATCCTACTTGCATTAGAGAGAGCAGGGTAGACTCATCATGAAAACTTTCCACATCACTGAGAGACAATGAAGGGACCATACCCAGGTTTATGCAGGAATGAAGTGAAGGAATATGTGGAAGTTAAAGTCAGTGTGGGGAAGGCTGGAGAGTGTGAATTGGGCAACACTCCACGTAAGGTGAGGTCAGCTGGGAAACCAGTCCACTGTAGAGATTTTGAAGTCATAAGTTTGAGATAAGGTGAAGTGCTCAGTGATTTTTCCACCTGTTATTTTCACCTAACAAAGACCTGTTTGAGCTATAGTCATTCAGGATGTGACCATGTGTCCCCCACCCCCAAAAGATACGCTGAAATCTTAATCCCTGGTACCTCAGAATGTGATCTGATTAGGAAATAGGGTCTTTATAGAGGTCATCAAGTTAAAATGAGGTCATTAGGGTGAGCCTTAATCCAATAGAATTTGAGTGGAGCCTGGAGCATCTGCAGGACCCAAGAAAGTGACCACAGAGAGGGGCCAAGGGGTGGGGGTGCTGGTGCTGACACTGCAGAGCCTTCTAGGCCTTCTTAGGGATTTGGCATTTTACCTGTATCTGAAGAACAAGGGTTGCACTGATGGCAAGCCAAGATGCATTGTGTTTGCTAGGGGCTGCCAAGTTGCCAAGAGAGGAAATGACTCTGCAGATGGTTCTGCAGGGCCTGGCACAGGGCGAGTTTCCTGCATGAGGGAGGTGCTTTTATTTAATTGTTAAATTTGTTTCCTGTTTATGCCCTTCTTTCTCATATGGGGATGTTCATGGCCTCCTGCCTGGGTGGTGACAGCACTCTCCTAACTGGCCTCATACCCACAGGCTCTGCGTCCTCCAGCCCATCCTATAAGTCAGTTCATCAGACCTCTACCCTGCTCAGGTACTGGCTGGGTGCAGAGCCTGCAGCTTGCACAGAAGGTCGTTCCTGTGCAGCTGACTGCCCCTCCAGGCTCTGTCTGTCTCTTGTCCTCACCCTCACCCCTGCTCCTGCTCTCTGCTGGGCAGACACCACTGGTGGAACTCATGAACATTTGCAGAACTAATGACTGAAGGCACCAGGGCCCTGGCAGCCACCCCACCCTGCATGCAACTGGAGCTCTTCACCACTCTGCACTTTGGTTCTGTGATTTGCCCACCTCCTCTTTCTCTGCCTGTTAAATGGAACATTCATTTGCTACATTCCAGTTCCAGAAGCTTTTAACAAAACCCAGGGAATCCTAGAAGGGTACAGTAAGAGGAATGGAAAGAGGAAAGAAGTTAAAATGTATTTGGTGGCCAGACGCAGTGGCTCATGGCTGTAATCCCAGCACTTTGGGAGGCCGAGGCGGGCGGATCACTTGAGATCAGGAATTCAAGACCAGCCTGGTCAATATGGCAAAACCCCATCTCTACTAAAAATATAAAAATTAGCTGGGCGTAGTGGCGGGCAACTGTAATCCTAGCTACTCGGAAAGCTGAGGCACGAGAATCACTTGAACCCCAGAGGCAGAGGTTGCAGTGAGCTGAGATCGCACTACTGCACTCCAGCCTGGGTGACAGAGTGAGACTCCAATTCCAAAAATAAATAAATAAATAAATAAATAAATAAATGTGTTTGGTTCAGGGGAAAGACTAAAGCTACTGAATAACCTTTGATGCTAAATAAAATTATAACTTTAAATAGATGTAAGGGAAATCATGAATTAGACTAGAACTAAAGATGCATGTTTTAAACTACTGGAAGGGCTGAAACAACAACATAGAGAGCAACCCTTTCGGTGAAAATCAGGGGAAAAAATAGTACTCAGAAAAAATAAAGTAATATAGACATAAAAGCTTATCTCTTTTTTAAACAGAGTATTCGTGTTCCATGAAACTGCTGGTGATAATTTTTAAAAAGTGTATTCATGGAGAAAGTTCTGATGAGATATTATTTCGGCGGTTATTCCTTGGTGGTAGAAGCTTTTCAGGACTTTTCAACTTTGTACTTTGTACTTTTACAAAGACCTGTATAGTACTGGGTTTATAATAAAAACAAAACAAACACAAAAGCCCATTCATCTGCAAACAACTCATTGTTCAAGTCTTTCCTGACCCTCCCACTGAACTCCCAGGCTGATGGTGACTTTCTCATGACATTGAAGGACATTGAATAATTATAACTACTGTAACTAATGGGCCCAGCACTAAGCTCTCTAAGCCTCATCTTCCTTATCTGTAAAGTGGGGATAGTCAGAGTTCCCATGTGATAGGCTTGTTGAGATGACTCAACCAAATATTTGTATACGAAATTCTTAGCATCGTGTCTGGCACGATAAGAACTCAATAACAATTTGCTGTTGTTACCATTATTATTATAATTTATTTTATGTTATTTTTTGAGTGACAGAGTGTCACTCTGTCCCCCAGGCTGGAGTGCAGTGGCACGATCTTGGCTGACTGCAACCTCCACCTGCTGGCTTCAAAGGATTCTCCTGCCTTAGCCTCCTGAGTAGCTGGGAATACGCCCCCGGCTAATTTTTTTTTTTTTTTTTTTTTTGAGACTCGCTCTGTCACCTAGTCTAGAGTGCAGTGGTGCGATCTCGGCTCACTGCAACATACGCCTCCCAAGTTCAAGCGATTCTCCTGCCTCAGACTCCTGCATAGCTGGGATTACAGGCACCCGCCATCATGCCCAACTAATTTTTGTATTTTTGGTAGAGATGGGGTTTCACCATGCTGGCCAGGCTGGTCTTGAACTCCTGACTTCAGGTGATCAGCCCACCTCAGCCTCCCAAAATGTTGGGATTACAGGTGTAAGCCACCGTGCCCAGCCTAATTTTTGTATTTTTAGAAGAGACGGGGGTCTCACCATGTTGACCAGGCTGGTCTAGAACTCCTGATCTCAGGTGATCTGACCACCTTGGCCTCCAAAAGTGCTAGGATTACAGGTGTGAGCCACTGCACCCAGCCTCTAACTTACTTTAATTCCAAACATCCTTCCAAGGTAGGCATTATGAGCTTTATAAATGATGAAAATATGGCTCAGAGAGGTTAAGTAATTTGCCTAAAGTCACACAGCTAGTAAAGGGTTTCCTAGGACATTACATGAAAGTTAATCACCTACGAATGAAAGTTGTGGGGAGTCTGTGCACAGTGAATGAGAGGCACTAACTGGAAAAGACACTGTAGATGGTGCTAAGGAAATTGGGGAGTAAATAAATCCAATCAAAGGGAGCCAAGGGGAAGTATGCATGGATAAAGACTAGACCTAAGGAAGCAAAAATCAAATCCATGGTACTAGGCGCCAACTGAAGAAAGAATGTGGATGCAGAAGAGGGTGGCCTTTATGGAATCTAGAAAAGCGGGGCTCAAGGGACAAGAATCATGAGCTGTTTAGTCATTGTTCCCTGCAGGGGAACATGAAGACAGGTATGTTCTGGCCATGAGTATTCTGTTGTAACCTATTTTAATTTTATTTTCTTAATTTTCTTTAATAGAGACAGGGTCTGGTATGTTACCCAGGCTGATCTCCTGGGCTCAAGTGATTCTCCCACCTCAGCCTCCCTAAGAGATTGCAGGCATGAGCCACCACGCCCAGCCATAACCTACTTTTAATCAGCAGCTTCAAAATGGCTGTGACATCAAGTGTATAATAACACTGAACTCACAGTCATGCTCTACATATCAAAAGATGGGTGGAGAGAGACTTCTTCTGTCAGTTTGATGGAAGAATATGTGTGCCGTCTGTTTCATGTACACTAGAATTCATCCCTGAATTAAGCCAGACCAGTGGCATGGACACACAGCATGGGACTGCACTGATCTGACTGATTCTGCCGGAACATGGTGCCACCAGCTGTAACAGGAACACCGAAGAAATGAATAAATCCTATGAAAACTTGTATTTATGGTAGTGGTGTGGTTGAGACGTTGTTCACTTTATCACACCCCTTCTGGTCAAGGGAGACCAGAAGAAAACTGCTTCCTGGTCTCAGGGAAAGGATTAGTTGTGTTACTATTGCGGGACTTTTCCTTAGTTCAGCTAAAGACGGGTTCTTTGTCCCACAGCCACGAAAATTCAGGCTCGCAGACAATCTGAATGGTGAATGAGATGGGTTTTATTGGATGAAAAGGAAGAAAACGGAGAAACAGGGACTGTCGCTAGGCCAGAGTCCCTACTAGAGCGCTTCCCACCCGCCATTCAAATCCCAGGATCCACACACTAAGAAGAGGGGCCAGGCTGCTCCCCGCTGCAAAGGGCACAAACTTCCTGAGGCTCCACCTCAGTGGGCAGGCTGGTTGGCATTTCTCCAGGGAACCCCTCCCACCTGGCTGTCTCACTACTTCTGAGACTTTGGACACTGGAAGCCATGTGATGATTGTGTTTCCCTCTTTGAATTGGCTTCTAGAGAGCTCAGTTCCAAACCTGCGACCCCCACCCCCAGCACAGCATGATGTTTATACTAATCTTACTGGTTTTATCTGATTTTTCTAACTCTTTACTTGCCTTCGTATTTTTCTTTCTTTTTCTTAGAGATTTTGGGGTCTCACTCATAGCTCACTGCAGCTTCAAACTCCTGGGCTCAAGTGATCCTCCAGCCTCAGCCTTCTGAGGAAGTAGCTAGGACTATAGGCATGTGCCCCAACAGCCTGGCTAATTCATTTTATTGCTTTTTTAGAGATGAGATCTGGCTATGTTGTCCAGGCTGGGCAGTCTCAAACTCCTGGCCTCAAGCAATCCTCCTGCCTCAGCCTCCAGAGTAGGTGGGGTTACAGGCAGGCACCACCAGGCTCAGCCTTAGTTGTAATTTTTAATTCTGTTGTATTGTGTTTAAGCTATTTTAGATTTTGTTTAAAACAAGGCTGGTATAGATACATACAATGTTTTATTCCTGGACTGGGTTTTACTATGACCTGGATGAAATACTCCTAAAATATCTACCTCTCTTAACTTTGATTTCTTGGTCACCCAGCAACGTATTTTGATTGGCAGTCAACTTTTCCTTTCAGGTATCTTGCTACTAGTTTATTTAGTTATTTTGTCATTTCACTGTTTCCATTCACTAGTTTCCATATTTCATTGCGTCCTTTTTTGCTCTTGTGTGTTTTTTTTTATGTCATTCTTTTAAGTTTATATCATATTTGTGTAATGTGGTTTTTTTCTTAACTTTTAAATTATTTTGAAGTCAATTTCATTACAAATTTCTTTTTTTAGCCAGGTGCAGTGGCTCACACCTGTAATCCCAGCACTTTGGGAGGCCGAGGTGGGCAGATCACCAGAGGTCAGGAGTTCGAGACCAGCCTGACCAACCTGGAGAAACCCTGTCTCTACTAAAAATACAAAAATTAGCCGGGTGTGGTGACACATGCCTGTAATACCAGCTACTAGGGAGGCTGAGGCAGGACAACCACTTGAACCTGGGAGGCGGAGGTTGTGGTGAGCCGAGATCATGCCATTGTACTCCAGCCTGGGCAACAAGACTGAAACTGCGCCTCAAAAAATAAAAAATTTAAAAAAATAATTAATTAAATTAATTAATCATTATTATTATTATTATGAGACAAGGTCTGGCTCTATCACCCAGGCTGGAGTGCAGTGGCACAATCACAGCTCACTGCAGCCTGGACTTCGCTGGCTCAAACTATCCTCCCACCTCAGCCTCCCAAGTAGCTGAAATGGATACGTGCACCAACACGCCCGGCTAATTTTTGTATTTTTAGTACAGACAGGGTTTCGCCATGTTGCCCAGGTTGGTCTCAAACTCCTGAGCTCAAGTGATCCACCTGCCTTGGCCTCCCAAAGTGCTGGGATTATAGGCATGAGCCACCATGCCTGGCCTAAAATTTCTTTTACTGTGGTAAAAATAAACATATATATAATTCAGCTATAAACGAGGAATTACATTCTGATACATGCTACAACATGGATGAATATTGAAAAAAAATTATGCAAAATGAAATGAGCCAGAAACAAAAGGACAAATATTGCATGATTTCACTTACATCAGATATTTAAAATGGGGAAATCTGGTTTGTCAGCACAGCAGGGAAAAAAATAAATAAAAATAAAATAGGAAAATCATAGAGGTGAAAAGTCAATTTAGCCAGGTGTGGTGGCTCATACTTGTATGTGTGTGTGGTGTGTGTGTATATATATGTGTGTGTGTGTGTGTGTGTGTGTGTATGTTATATATATGAAAATGTATATAAGGTAAGATTTCCCATTTAACCATTTTATTTTATTTTATTTTATTTTATTTTCTCAAGACGGAGTCTCGTTCTGTTGCCCACGCTTGAGTACAGTGGCACGATCTCGGCTCACTGCAACCTCCACCTCCTAGGTTCAAGCAATTCTCCTGCCTCAGACTCCTGAGTAGCTGGGATTACAGGTGCCTGCCACTATGCCTGGCTAATTTTTGTATTTTTAGTACAGATGGGGTTTCACCATGTTGGCCAGGCTGGTCTTGAACTCCTGACCTCAGGTGATCCTCCCACCTCGGCCTCCCAAAGTGCTGGGATTACAGGCCTGAGCCACTGCACCCAGCCTAACCATTTTAAATGTATAATTCATTGGCATTAATTACATTTGACGTTGTTGTGCAGCTGTCAACCACTATCTGTTTCCAAATTTTTTTCATTACTCCAAACAGAAACTCATTACCCATTAAGCAATAACTCCCCATTCTCCTTTCCGCCCAGCCCCTGGTAACCTCTAATCGACTTATTTTCTTTTCTTTTTTTTTTTTTTAGAGGTGGTGGGGGTGGGTGTCTCACCATGTTGCCCAGGTTGGTCTCGAACTCTTGGCCTCAAACAGTTCTCCTGCCTCAGCCTCTCAGAGTGCTGGGATTACAGGCATGAGCCACGGCACCTGGCCAAATTGACTTTTCACCTCTATGATTTTTGTATTTTACTTTTATTTATTTTTTTTCCTGCTGTGCTGGCAAACCAGATTTCCCCATTTTAAATATCTAACGTAAGTGAAATCATACAATATTTGTCCTTTTGTGTCTGGCTTATTTCATTTTACATAATTTTTTCAATGTTCATCCATGTTGTAGCATGTATCAGAATGTAATTTCTGCTGGGCGCGGTGGCTCATGCCTGTAATCCCAGCACTTTGGGAGGCCGAGGCTGGCAGATCACCTGAGGTCAGGAGTTGGAGACCCGCCTGGCCAGCATGGTGAAACCCCGTCTCTACTAAAAAAAATACAAAAATTAGCTGGGCGTGATGGCGCGTGCCTGTAATCCCAGCTACTCAGGAGGCTGAGACAGGAGAAACCCTTGAACCGGGGAGGCGGACGTTGCAGTGAGCCAAGATTGCGCCACTGCGCTCCAGCCTGGGTGACAGAGCAAGACTCTGTCTGCAAAATAAAATAAAATAAAATAAATAAATAGAATGTAATTTCTTTTTTATGGCTGAATAATAGTACTTTGTAATATTTTCATTATTGTGTATCTTTAAATTAATTTTAACGCCTTTCTTTTTTTTTTTCTCTTTTTTTTTTTTGGTAGCGATTTGGACCTCACTATGTTGCCCAGGCTGGTCTCAAACTCCTGGGCTCAAGCGATCCTCCCCTCTCGGCCTCCCAAAATGCTGGGATTACAGGCGTGAGCCACCTCGTCCTGCCACCATTTTATTTTTTGAATGATTTCTTATTGTCTTAACTTCTTAGGTGACTAACAATGAGGCTTGCTACTATCACCCTAGCATAATGATATCATCCTTAGCAAGGGAGTTGGGCGCTCTTACCGGTAGATGGCGCTGTCGATCTTTTAAAAAGCGAGCTCTCCTGCCCTCCCACTTTGAGCTCGCTGAGTCAAAACACAGCCCGAATAGTTTAGGAGCTCCAAAGCCCCGCTTATCTCCACTTTCCAAATTCTCTCTCATTAAGACCAACAAAAATTTTACCTTTATTATTAGTTATGTGACCTGCTAAGACAATTTATAACACTTTTTATTATGGAAATTTTCAAACTTACACAAAAATAAAGAAAATACCTCTATTTACCTACCATGGGACTTCAACAATTATTAGCATTTACAAATCTTGGAACAATGTTATTTTCTCACATTATGTTCTATCTCATCCCTCTTAAAGAGTTATCAGATGGGAAATCCATGGTCTAGGCTCAATAAAATCACTCTACATTAGGAAAGTCTTGGAAACAGATTGCGTTTTAGCAGGAAAAGGAGGGGGGTTGATGATTTCATTCAATAAAACAGCCTTAACTCACCGCCGTGACCAATAACCGGGTAATGTGGAAGCTCCCCGTAAGATTCCTCGTGGAAGGCAAAAATAGAGCACAACTGGGCTTTTGAATACCTCTTACATCTGCCTGCCTTTGTCTTGTCTATTTTCCAACCTGATTTCACCTGCTCCCTATCAGGATCTTAGCCTCTCAGGGTGCAGCTGATCTCAGTTCCTTTCCTTATAGTGAGACCAAGATAAGTTGACTGGGCCTGGAAATATTCTCAAGAGAGGTTTTAGAATGGAGTCAACTGCATTTCCACTGAGTCATGTCTGAAGATAAATCACAGGGCATCTATTCAGCAGTCCAGGCTGATATCTATCTTACTTCCTGAATGTGGGTCTCGGGTATCCCTCAGAGCAGCTGTCTGATATCAGGAAGGGAAATGTGTGTTAGAGATGGTTTATTGTTATAAGTCAAACAAATAAATTATTGAATAAAACATGTTCCAGCTTTTGTCTTGATAAATATACCTTCATACTGATCTTGAAGGCTAGTGTAGCAGATACTGTTGTGTGCCACCCAAATCCTACCTTCAACATTGTCACTTATTCCCCAGCTGCCAGGGGTGTTGGTTGTGACAGCTCTGTCTCTGGGAATTGCCCTTAGCTGAAAAGAGCTGTCTTGCCCAAGGTTACACCTCCCCTCCCTGGGGGCAGCCACATCCAATGACTGATAGATAAGATAAGAACATACAAAGTCCTGGTTACCTTGCTTCAAGTTTGGCCACCTTTTTGTTTGTTTGTTTGTTTGTTTGTTTGAGATGGACTTTCGCTCTTGTTGCCCGAGCTGGAGTGCAATGGCACAATCTCTGCTCACTGCAACCTCCGCCTCCTGGGTTCAAGTGATTCTCCAGCCTCAGCCTCCTGAGTAGCTGGGATTACAGGCGCATGCCACCATGCCCGGCTAATTTTTTGTATTTTTAGTAGAAACGGGGTTTCACCATGTTAACTAGGCTGGTCTTGAACTGCTGACCTCAGATAATCCTCCCCCACTCGGCCTCCCAAAGTGCTGGGATTACAGGCGTGAGTCACCGCGCCCGGCCGAGTTTGGCCAAATTTAAAGGACTTTTCCAGTGCCAGAGGCCTCCACAACCCATGAGATCAGCTCAGTACTCTTTACGGCTTCATTACAGTTCAACTGCTCCCTTTCCCTGTCCCGTTTCTCTCAGCTTTTAAAGGTGTTTGTCCCAAGATTGTTCCCCAATAAAACTTCTGCAGATAAATCTATCTGAGAATCTGTTTTCTGGGGAATCCAGGCTAGGACAGCCAGGCTGGAATTTAGAATTCTGAGACTCCCCTAGGTTCCATGGCAGAATATGGCTGAGTGAGGAAAACTAGCTCTGGGTCCTCTACCTGCATCTGCCCTACTTTCTTTTCCTGAAAATTCAAGTCCCTAAAATCTCCAGACCCATATCCTTCTCTGAAAACAGCCACATTTTGGGGTCTCAGAGCATGCACGACAGCAGCGAGGCATAACCCCTGGGACGATGGCCCCAGGAGGAGGCCCATGCAAACTTGGAAGCAGGCTTGGGGGCCATTAGTGCCAGGAATTCAGGGGTTCCAAGTACCTAGACTGTAGTACTTGTAGAAGAGATGCAACCTCCATGGGTAGGTCTATCCCTTTGGCTTCTCGGACTTTTTGTCCTATAAGTTGGGGGAATGATAGAGCAGGTCCCTCTAGATCATGGAGCCCGGGCAGGGTCCTCATGTGCTTGGATCCAAGGGTGGGAAAACATTTTCTACCTAATTTAAACCAGTGGCATTTGTGTCTCTGTTACAAGCAGCCAAAAATTTATATTTTAACACGTCTAGTTGACTTCCTGCACTTCTATGCCCATCTTCCTAAAAGAGAACAGTGTATCTCTCTAAAAGGGACTTCATCCTTTACTCTCAGGTCCTAGAATATACTGATGTTTCCTACATGTTAATTATGCTTTCCACAATCAAAATTTGATTTCATTAGGAAATCCATTCATGCAAGAGATGTCTCTAATTAAAAACTATCCAAATAACTTCTCCAATAACCAACCACACTGGCCTTTTTGCTCTCCTCCCTGCTGAGGGCTTATATCCCTGGATATCCTTTGACATCCATCAGCCCTGCTCTCTATAGTGACAATCTACAGGAACATTTCCATTTATTGCCTCTCCAGTGATTCTCAGCTCTTTGCAAACAAAATTCCATCCAGTTCCTTCAAAGGGCAGTCCTTTAAAAACCATGAGCCTATACTGTTAGTCATGATATGCGGAAAGAGATTGTTGAGGGTCTCAAGTACCAAATCCACCTACTGCAATGCATTGAGAAAATATGCATCAATTGCTTGTTCTGATAATGTACTGTAGTATGTAAGAGCTTACCACTGGGGAAGCTGCGTGAAGAGTGCACAGGACATCTCGGTACTAATTTTGCAACTTTCTGTGCATCTTTAGTTATTTGAAAACAAAAAGAGAAGAAAAAAAAAGAGGAGGAGGCAGGACATTAAAAAATATAACCTTATGGATGGGCTTGGTGGCTCACGTCTGTAATCCCAGCATTTTGGGAGGCCGAGGCCGGCGGATCACGTGAGGGCAGGAGTTCGAGACCAGCCTAGCCATCATGGCGAAACCCCATCTCTACTAAAAGTACAAAAATTAGCCAGGTGTGGTGGCAGGCGCCTGTAATCCCAGCTACTCAGGAGGCTGAGGCAGGAGAATTGCTTGAACCCGGGAGGCGGAGGCTGCAGTGAGCAGAGATCTTGCCACTTCACTCCGGCCTGGGCAAAAGAGTGAAACTCTGTCTCAAAAACAAAACAAAACAAAACAAAACAACAACAAAAAACTCCTTATTCAAAAATCGAGGCCATTCCAGATAAAGGAACTCTCTTTATATCTACAGTTTTGGCTCCAAACTTTATTGTGGCTTCGTACCTTAGTGAACTGGATTAGTGAGCATGTGTGATTGCAGTGACTGCCTAAAAAAGAGACAGGGCAGCCTGCCCTGTCCCATGAGTCCTTCCCGTTGGGCTTCCATAAAAGGGGTGAAGTGTCCTTCCCCAGCAGGAGGCGGCATTGAGTAATTCTCATGACACCAGCCTTAAAGAAGGACTTACTTGGCCTGCAGTCTGCCACACACATCTCCCTCAGGGCCCCAGCAGGGCCTCTGCAGCTGGTAGGTGCTTAATGGAGGATTTTAGGATTTTGCATCTTGGTTATCTCATCTTTGAGGACTCGACCTACATCTGGCAAGTCTAGGAGATGGAATTGAGGAGGGCATATGCACAGAGTACTGGGAATTAGAGAGCTGAGTCACTGGAGAGTCTCGAACCTCAGAGCAGCTGCCTTTCTCTTGGACTCAGGCCAAGATTGAGGGAGACTGACGACATATTGCATCTCACAGGTTCCCAGGGGCACAAGGCTATTTGCGACCACAGCAGCTCCGTTTGGCTAAGGAGGCCTTGGGTTTCTGAGGGATAGGAAGAATCAGAGCAGAGAAGAGCAGATGGAATGGTGACCGACGTAGGGCCCTGAAGTTTACTTAGGGTTGTCTTCTAGAAATGTGAGGTGCTGTGTTTACAAAAAAAGCATAGCTTGCACTGCTCTCAGTCTCAGGTTCCCAGGGGAAAGGGCTAAATAAGGACAATCTGCAATGCATTGGAAGGAAAAACTGAGAGGCTTATACATTTATGAGAGGTATCCCCACTATGTATTTGTAAATCTTCCAGAATGTAGGAATGTCCAGATGCCATTAAAAAAAAAAAGACTAACTGTATTTATTCATTTATCTATTTTTATTGACATTGTAATTGTATATATTCAGATGCCCTTTTTTTTTTTTTGAGATGGAATTTTGCTCTTCTTGCCCAGGCTGGAGTGCAATGGCATGATCTCAGCTCACTGCAACCTCCGCCTCCTGAGTTCAAGCAATTCTGCTGCCTCAGCCTCCGGAGTAGCTGGGGCTGGGACTACAGGCATGCACCACCATGCCCAGCTAATTTTTCTGTACTTTAGTACAGACGGAGTTTCGCCATGTTGGCCAGGCTGGACTTGAACCCCTGACCTCAAGTGATCCTCCCGCCTTGGCCTCCCGAAGTGCTGGGATTACAGGACTGAGCCACCTCGCTCAGACTTTTTTTTTTTTTTAAATGGAACCCTTCACAAATTTGTGTGTCATCCTTGAGCAGGGGCCATGCTAATCTTCTCTGTATCAGATGCCACTTTCATTTTTAGACGGAGTCTCACTCTGTTACCCAGGCACCTGCCACCATCCCCAGCTGATTTTTTTGTATTTTTAGTAGAGACAGGGTTTCACCATGTTGGTCAGGCTGGTCTCAAACTCCTGACCTCAGGTGATCCACCCACCTTGGCCTCCCAAAATGCTGGGATTACAGGTGTGAGCCACCGCTCCTGGCCTTTTTGTTTTTTAAACTCAGCACTCATCTTAGTATTCTAATATATTATCTCCTAAATAAGTTTTTATTTAACTATTTAAAATTTTTATCAGATTTATACAGATATGTAATTTTAAAAGCCAAATATATATGTGTGTGTATATAAATTACAGATATGTAATTTAAAAAGCCAAAGACAGAACAAAAGCTATAGTCCGGTACCAACCCCTAATTCTCTCTTCCTAGAAGTAAAAGCACTTCGATGCTCAATTAGTTTTTATCTTCCTGTTTCTTAATAACAAGTTATATCAGTCAGGGTTCAGTGCAGCAACTAGAGATTACGCTAGGTAAATTAACAGGAAGACATTTTACAAAGGGTATTAAGAGCTTTTGAAATCTTTATAAGGGCTGAGGGCACAGGTTCTAAGCTGGGCTTTATGGAATGATATCCAGAATTATACAGATCTACTAGGTTTTCTTTTGATCATTTGTCTATGAATTTATCACAAATTTGTCAGCAGATTCTATAGAAGTCTATTTTTTCTCTGCAGTCTAATGTATTACAATTAATCAATTCCCTCTTTTTCTTGGTAATATCTTTCTGTAACCAGGTAAAGGAATTTTCTTAATCCCTGAGGTTTTGGCCCCAAGCCTTTTTTTTTTTTCTTTTTTCTTTTTGAGATCCACTCTGTCACCCAGGCAGAAGTGCAGTGGTGAAATCTTGGCTCACTGCAACTTCTGCCTTCTGGGTTCAAGAAATTCTCTGCCTCCGCCTCTTGAGTAGTTGGAATTACAGGCATGTGCCACCATGCCCAGCTAATTCTTTTGTGTGTTTTTGGTAGAGACGGGGTTTCACTATGTTGGCCGGGCTGGTCTCAAACTCCTAGCCTCAGGTGATCCACCCGCCTTGGCTTCACAAAGTGCTGGGATTACAAGCAGGAGCCACCATGCCCGGCCTCCAAACCATTTTAATCTGGACCTGCGGATCCCTAGTTCTCCTACACAGCAACCTCCTGGGATTTTCATTCTCCTCACTCTTTGGAGGATCCCACATCTTTATCTCTCCTGATCTAATCCCTTACTTTGATGGAACTTCCTAAGGAAAGGGGCAAGGGAGGGCAATTTTTGAAATTTTGTCTGAAAATGTCTTTTATATTATGATTACATCTGATTAATAGTTTTACTGAAAATAAAATTCCAAGTTGTAAAATTTACACCTAAATTAGGAAAGCACTGCTCCACTATCTTCCAGCTTCCAGTGCTACTGTTGAAAAGTCCTCAGCTAGGTGTTATGGTGCGCACCTGTAATACCAGCACTTTGGGAAGCCAAAGTGGGAGGATTGCTTGAGCCCAGGAGTTCAAGACCAGCCTGGGCAACGTAGTAAGATTTCGTCTCTACAAAAAATAAAATTAAATTTAAAAATTAGCTGGGCATGGTGGTACGTGTCTGTAGTTTTCAGAAGGCTGAGAGGGGACGATCCCTTGAGCCCAGGAGTTCAAGGCTGCAGTGATCCATGATTGTATCACTACGCTCCAGCCTGGGTGACAGAGTGAGATCCTGTCTCAAAAAAAAAAAAAAAAAAAAAGGAAAAGAGAAAGAAAAAAAGAGAAAACCCTATACCATTTGAGTTTTGATCTTTTTCATGTGACCTGTTTTTTTCTTTTTGTCCAATTTTGGGATTTTTCTTTTTGTCCTCAGTATTTTTAAAATTATGGTAGTATGCCTTGGATTTCATTCCTTTTGTTAGACACTTCTGTTAGACACTTGAGGTCTATCTCACTTTGGAACCATATCTCTCAGTTCTGAGAAAAGTTCTTGAATTATTTCTTTGATAATTTCATCCCTTCTGTTCCCTCTGTCTATTCTTTCTAGAAATCCTCCTATTCATCCAGATGATCTAATTTTCATATATTTTCTATACCATCTACATTTCTTTTCCTTTTTTTTTTTCTTTTGAGATGGAGTCACCCAGGTTGGAGTGTAGTGGCACTATCTCGGCTCACTCCAATCTCCACCTCTCTCGGGTTCAAGCGATTCTCCTGCCTTAGCCTCCCAAGTAGCTGGGATTACAGGCGTATGCCACCACGCCTGGCTAATTTTTGTATTTTTAGTAGAGACGGGGTTTCACTATGTTGGTAAGGCTGGTCTCGAACTCCTAATCTCAAGTGATCCACCCACTTCCGCAACTCAAAGTGCTGGGATTACAGGCCTGAGCTACTGTGCCCGGTCCCATCTACATTTCTTTACCCTTTGCTTCTTTTTAGAAGATTTCTTCAACTTTAAATTTTTTATTTAATAATGTGTTCTTTTACCATGGAGAAAATATCGTCTCTTATGTTTATGAAAATATTAATTGCAGTGGATTTTATTATTTGGCTCTTTGCATTCTCTAAATTTCCTCTTCTTCTTCTTCTTCTTCTTTTTTTTTTTTTTTTTTTTGACAGGGTCTCTCTGTTGTGGTCCAGGGCAATGGCTTAATCACAGCTCAATGAAGCCTCGACCTCCCGGACTCAAGTGATCCTCCCATCTCAGCCTCCTGAGCAGCTGAGACTACAGGTGCACGCCACCGCGCCCGGCTAATTTTTGTACTTTTTGTAGACACAGAATCTCGCCATTTTGCTCAGGCTGTTCTTGAACTCTTGGGCTCAAGCGATCCGCCCAGCTTGGCTTGCGAAGGCACTGAGATTACAGGCGTGAGCCACCGCGCCTGGCTTTATATTCCTTAATTCTTGTGTTTTCAATACCTGTCTTTCATGTCAGTGGTTTTCATCCCATAATGACTAGTTTCTTATCAATGTATTGCCTCTCAACCGTAAATCCATCCTCTTAACTGATCTGTATTGAATTAAGCGGTTCTCCTTCGCAGCCAGCACAATATTAAGCTTTCTCAGTAGAGGGCGCCGGAGGGACACTGCCAGAGGAAAGAATTTCTTTTATCTCTGGTTCCGGGAGCTATGGTTTGTGATTCTTGTTGCTCCTGCGGCAGGGCCCATCAGTGGCCAGGTGGGAACATCTGGTGGTCTCTGTCCTAGCTGCGTGCTGACAGCATGCGTTCCCCCAGCGAGCTGGCCCTGACGTGGACCCTGCATGCCCCAGGCCTTGCATGCAGTGAGTGGGCTCCCGATGCCGCGACCCCCCCAGTTTCCTGCTTGCTCATGACTGTTCACAGGCTTTGGCCTGGGCATCCCAGGGAAATAATCTGGTACCTGGTGGGCACATGCACACTTTCTGCCTTGAGTTCTGAATCCAGCTTTGGGGTGGGGATGCTTCCACGTGTGTCCTTCTTTGGGTACTCTCCCGCGGCCCTACAGCATTCTTTGGAGTTCTCTGCACGTCTTTTTAGCCTGTTACAGCCAATAATTCTTTCTAATAATAAACTTTCTCTGCTCAAATTGGGGCTTGGGCTTTGTGAATGATACAGTAATCCTTGGCTTAGTTAGATCTTAAGCTGTTTGGAAACTCCAGGTGTGTGTGTTGGGGATGGGGGGAGGTTTCAGTGGGCTTCACCATAGTGCAAATGGGCTGAACTGTTTCTCCAGAAGACCCTTGTATTAGGGTCTAGTCAGGTGAAAGAAAAAAATCCAAATATTTAAACAGAGGTAATTTTGTTTTATTTTATTCTATTTGAAAAGGAATTTCACTCTGTTGCCCAGGCTGGAGTGCAGTGGCACAATCTCGGCTCACTGCAACCTCGGTCTCCCGGGTTCAAATGATTCTCCTGCCTCAGCCTCCCAAGTAGTGGGATTACAGGCACCTGCCACCACACCCAGCTAAGTTTTGTATTTTTAGTAGAGACAGGGTTTCACCATATTGGCCAGGCTGGTCTCAAACTCCTGACCTCAGGTGATCCACCTGCCTCGGCCTCCCAAAGTGCTGGGATTGCAAGCGTGAGCCTCCGCGCCCAGACAGAGGTAATTTTATATAAAGGATTGTTAACCACATATTGAGATCTAAAAAGACAAAAAGAGCACTGAGATACCGCAGAGGTAGAACGCGTGGGAATCAGGAATGGGGCAACTGCCTCTCCCTCAGTCTTGGGGAACTGAGGGAAGAGGTCAGTATTATTCAATGGGAGAATCTGGGAGGATGGCCCCACGGAGCTAGAATTCAGTTTCCTAAGGAGGAGCCTGGCCAGTGAGCCGGTATCACTGAGGCCACGGGAAGAGGCCTTTGCCGGGAGTGAGGAAGAACCACAGTTTGGGACTTGCTACTGCTGCTGGACCAGCTGTTGCTACAGGGCTGAAGATCCTCGGCTGTGGTGATGCCGGCAGGATTGGGAGGCCAACAAGGGAAGGGATCCCTTCTTCCTCCAGTGCTGACACCTCCCTCTACACCTAAGAGGGAGCCAGCTGGGAAGGAGAGAGTGGAAGAGGGTTTTGAAGTCAAGTGACAGTAGCTTAATATCCGTCAGAACCCCCTTACTCCTGTGTTCCTAGGTGTTTTTCCTTGTCTGGTCAGTTTCTCCAGAGAAGGTTTCTCTATTAATCGGCCTGGGGCAAGTCTGGCTGCTGGAGTTCTCAGAACCAACTTCATGGAGGGGACCAGGAAGCCTTACTGTTCGATAGGCAGGCTTTTACATAATCCTAAATGACTTTTTCTTTTCTTTTATTGCTTCTCTTATTTTATTTCTTTTATTATTACTTATTTTCTATTTTTTAAATTATTTTATTTTGTTTTCTTCTGGCCACATAAAGCCAGAAGGCCATAGGCTATATATATATATATGTAATTTTTTTTTTTTTGGTAGAGCTGGGGATCTTGCTCTGTTGCCTAGGCTGGTCTTGAATTCCTGGACTCAAGTGATCCTCCTGCCTTGGCCTCCCAAAGTGCTAGGATTATAAGCATGAGCTATCACGCCCAGCCTTAAATGATTTTCATTGTGGTTCCCAGGATGTGGCATGGTTCAACGCCTCCAGCGAGCAAACCACTCATTAGGGTGGAATATAGGGGGTCACTCTGCCATGTGCGTTGAGTTAGGAGATCTAGGGTTCTAGTGGCTTCTTACATAGACCATCAGCCTCTGGTTCCAGGCCTCTTGCACACTCACGTTTGGGATACTTGGTTTCTCCATTCCTTACTGGGGTTCTGCTATGTGAAATCAGCCTGCTTCTGGGATTCTCCCACTGACATTTTACCTTTAAATTTCTCTTATCTGCTAAGACCTTTGTCTATTTGTTATCCAGATCATTATTCTCTATTTATTTAGATTGTGTAGTCAGTTTCTCTCTCTCTCTCTCTCTCTCTCCTCTCCCCCCGCCTTTTGTTCTTGTCAGTCCTTGCCTTTTAAAACCCCTTTATCACATTTTGGTGGGATTTCTGCTGGGAGCAGAGATGGTTGTGTTCAATCAGCTACATAAAGCCTGAAGGCCCGGCCAGGCACAGTGGCTCAGGCCTGTAATCCCAGCACTTTGGGAGGCCAAGGTGGGCGGATCATCTGAGGTTAGGAGTTCAAGACCAGCCTAACCAACATGGAGAAACCCCGTCTATACTAAAAAAAAAAAAACAAAAAACTTAGCCAGCCGTAGTGGTGCATGCCTGTAATCCCAGCTACTCAGGAAGGCTGAGGCAGGAGAATCACTTGAACCCAGGAGGCGGAGGTTGTGGTGAGCCAAGATCCTGCCACTGTACTCCAGCCTGGGAACCAAGAGCGAAACTCAGACTCAAAAAAAAAAAAAAAAAGCCCGAAGTCCCAGTTGAATTTGTGGTGTAGATGTGGTGGGTGGGCTCTGGGTACCCAGCGCAGCTTAGCTGGCAGTATGTAGAAGTGAATACCAGGAAGTCTTTCTTTTCATTTCCCTCTGTTTTCTCTGGCTTGCCTCTGCCCAGGTGGCACTGGGGCCTCTGCTTCAGTGTATGCCTCAATGTATTTCCAACAAGATCCTTTCTTACGGAGACGGAGATGAGACAGCCCAGAAATCTGACTGATATGCCATGCTGTGGAGAGATCTTCCGGGAACAAGAGGGAGTTTGCAGTTCTCATTCTATTTTTGCTGGCCTCTAATGATCAGAAGCAAAGCAGAGCCAAAACAAATAGGCTAATTTACATTCCCTGCTATTAATGCTCATAAAATGCTGCATTTTTATATTGCTGCTCAAAGCACAGACTGCAGAAAGAGTATTGAGGTGGTTCTGACAGCAATCTTAAGAACTGCAGAGAGACTCTCTTGCTCAATAATTTTCTCCTTCTTTTAAAAATAAGGCTGGACATGGTGGCTCACATCTGTAATACCAGCACTTTGGGACACCGAGGTGGGAGGATAACTTGAGTCCAGGAGTTCAAGACCAGCCTGAGCAACATAGTAAGACCCCCATCTCTACAAAAAATACAAAAATTAGCCAAGTGTGGTGGCTCACACCTGTAGTCCCAGCTGCTTGGGAGGCTAAGGTAGGAGGATCACCTCAGCCCAGGGAAGTTGAGGTTGCGATAAGCCATGATTGCACCACTGCACTCTAGTCTGGACAACAGAATGAGACCCTGTCTCAAAAAAATAAATAAATAAAAATAAATAAATTAAATAACATTGGCTGGACATGGTGGCTCACGCCTGTAATCCCAGCACTTTGGGAGGCCGAGGCAGGAGGGCTTGAGTCCAGGAGTTTGCAACCAGCCTGGACAACGTAGTGAGATCTCCATCTCTACAAAAAGCGAACAAAATTAGCCAGGCATGGTGGCGTGTTCTTGTAGCCCCAGCTACTCAGGGAGCTGAGGTGGGAGGATTGCCTGAGCCTGGGAGGCTGAGGCTGCAATGAGCCGAGATCGCACCACTGCCCTCCACCCTGGGCAACAGAGCGAGATCCTGTCTCAAAAAGGAAAAAAAAATTATCAGGTTTGAAATAAAATATACATAATATAAGAAAACAAAAG
Source organism: Homo sapiens (assembly GCF_000001405.40). Classification (NCBI taxonomy): domain Eukaryota; kingdom Metazoa; phylum Chordata; class Mammalia; order Primates; family Hominidae; genus Homo; species Homo sapiens. The sequence continues at coordinate 2,420,108 of NT_167247.2, read as the reverse complement.
TAATTTCTAACCCCAATAAATAAAGATAGAAGACATTGTTAACATTTTGGTATATTTTCTTCTTCTGTTTTTTTTTTGTTGTTGTTTTTGTCTTATTTTATTTAGAGATGGTCTCCCTCTGTTGCCCAGGCTGGGGTGCAGTGGTACAATCAGCTGACTGTGACCTTGAACTCCTGGGCTCAACTGATCCTCTGACTCAGCCCCCCAAGTAGCCAGGACTACAGGCATGTGCCATCACATCTAGCTTTTTTTCTTTTTCTGAAATAAGAATGGGTTATATTTTGCTGTAACAACATGGGGTTAGGGACCAGGCCTGCGTAGTTGTAGTCATGCTTTATGATATGGCTGGTGACTCAGTTAACTGCTGGTTCATGAGCTGGAGCAATCCCAAAATGGTTTTCTAAAGGATGCCTGGCCCTGGTGTTTCCACACTGGCTCCTGTGGAGCATCTCTAAGCAGAGGCTGCATGGTGTTCTGTCCAGGTGGGAGCACAGGCTGAGTGACTCAGTTTTCATGAGGCGATGTATACCTGTTGCCCGCCCAAATGAGTTCTTAACAAATGGTAATGAGACTGGCCACCGTGGCTCACGACTGTAATCCCAGCACTTTGGGAGGCTGAGGCTGGCGGATCACTTGAGGTCAGGAGTTGGAGATCAACCTGGCCGACATGGTGAATCCCCGTCTCTACTAAAAATACAAAAAATTAGCTGGGCGTGGCGGGTGACTGGAGTCCCAGATGCTTGAGAGTCTGAGGCAGGAGAATCACTTGAACCCGGGAGCCGGAGGTTGCAGTGAGCCGAGATGGCGCCACTGCACTCCAGCCTGGACAACAGAGTGAGACTCCACCTCAAAAAAAAAAAAAAGAAATAAACAAAGCAGATATACAGTAGTCCCTTGGTATATGAGGGGGATTGGTTCCAAGACTCCTGTGTATACCAAAACCTACACATATTCAAGTCCCACAGTCAGCCCTTTGGGTCCCAAATATATGTAAAGTTGGGCCTTTGTATACATGGGTTTCACATGTCACCATTACTGTGTTTGTGATCTGCATTTGATTGAAAATAACCCATGCATAAGTGGACCTAAGTGGACCTATGCAGTTCAAATCCATGTTGCTCAAGGGTCAACTATATGGACATTAAATTAAGCAAGACATAAACTGGGATGTTAAAGCATGAGCAATAAATTAAAACTCAAAGAAATGACAGAAACCATTAGAGAAAATCAAATGAAGTATTGCTAAAAAATTTTAGGCAATTTTAACAAAACAGGAAAAACTTTATCAAGTTGATTTTTGCAAAGAAACTGGAACATGAGCTCCCTCCACTCACGTGTCTGTGCCCCTCAGAAGGGCGGTCCTGAGGAGCCAGCACATAGCCCAGGACTGACGTTAATGCCCTCAGGCAGGCTCCCACTGCCTCCTCTGCGCCTGCCTTCTCTCACTTTCTAGAATCCCAGTCCTAAAACTCTGTTTGATGTTTAGCAAAGGAAGACATATTCAGACATGCATAATAATGGTAGAAGACAGAGGTGAGGAATGCTGTGAAAGGTGTCCAAGGGGCCATGGAGAGCCCTGGGACTCTGGGGCTACCCCAAGGAGGCTGTGTTTTAAAATGTGTTTACACAGGCCTTTTCCATCATAAGTACATCTTTATTATTTTATGTATTTTGGAAAACACAGAAAAGTATTTCAAAAGCAAATCCTAAAGTAGTAAGCCTTAGATCATTGTGAAAGTTAATTTTTAAAAATATTTATTAAATTTAATGAATTAATTAATTTTTTGAGGCATGGTCTTACTCTGTCACTCGGGCTGGAGTGCAGTGGCACAATCACGGCTCACTGCAGCCTCAACTTCTCAGGCTCAAGAGATCCTCCCACCTCAGCCTCCCGAGCAGCTGGGACCACAGGCACTCGCCACCATGCCTAGCTAATTTTTTCTCGTTGTTTTTTGTAGGGACAGAGTCTCACTATATTCCCCAGGCTGGTCTTGAACTCCTGGGCTCAAGCAATCCACCCATCTAAACCTCCCAAAGTGCTGAGATTACAGGGATGAGCTGCTGTGCCCAGCCAAAGGTTAATTTCATGTGTCAGTATGCTTAAGCCATGGTACCCAAATATTTGGTCAAACATTATTCTAGATGTTTCTACTAAGGTATTTTGTAGATGAAATCAACATTTAAATGGATGGACTTTGAATAAAGCAAATTACCCTCCCGTATGTGAGTGGGTCTGACATCCCCCAAGGAAGAGGGAATTCTGCCTCCAGGTTGCCCTTAGGCCTGAACTGTGACATTAACTTTTGTCTCCAAGCCTGCCAGTTTTCCCTGCAAATTTTGGACTTGCCAATCTCCACAATCGTGTGAGCCAATTCCTTAAAATCTCTCTCTCACCTATATGAGCTCCTTTGAGTGTGTCTTCTCATCTATATGAGAGAGAGAGAGAGACAGAGAGAGAGAGGTTTTAGTTCTGTTTCTCTGGAGAACCCTAATACAGTTATGGTTTCATTTTAAAACATTTTTTTCTAGTCTTTTCTTTATACCTAGGTGGTTGTTGTTGTTTAGGTTTTTGTTTTTGTTCTTTTTGAGGGGTTGTATTTTATTGTCACCAATTGCATATATAATTGTGTGTTCCTTAATTCCTTATATTTATTTATTTATTTATTTTTGAGACAGTCTAGTTCTGTCACCCAGGATGGAGTAAAGTGGCGTGATCTCTGTTCACTGCAACCTCTGCCTGCCGGGTTCAAGAGATTCTCGTGCCTCAGCCTCCCAAGTAGCTGGAATTACAGGCACCCACCAACCACGCCTGGCTAATTTTTGTATTTTTAGTAGAGATGGGGTTTTGCCATGACCTCAAGTGATCCGCCAGCCTCGGCCTCCCAAAGTGCTGGGATTACAGCATGAGCCACTGTGCCTGGCCTTTAATTCTTTTTAAATAAATTATTATGACACTATTGTCTTCTTTGTTAATATAAGTTTTAATAAAAGTCACTTAAGTGGCTTCCCAATGATGCACAAAGTACATAGTCTATAATTTATAGTTTTTACTGCTAAATGTTTCTGCTGCTTCCAATATTTTGTTAAGATAGTAAACTGTAATGCACTTTTTTTGTTTATAAAGCTTTTTACACAATTGAGAATTGGATAGATTCCCAGAAATGAGATGACTGCATTGAAGTCACAGGCTAAGAGACACAAAGAGAACAGCAGCGACCCGCAGCAAGCTGGGCCAGAGGCTCCAGAGACTGCTGTCGAGGCCTGCTGGGGAGGAAGCCATGGCCAGTGGGGGGGCCACGAGTGGGCACAGAATCCACCCTCAGCTCCCACAGCTGCCCTCAGCCTCATGTTTAATCAGGCTCCACTAAAGACCTAGGGATAACAGAAGAGAATTCCAGGTACACTTAAAACTGGAAATGAGACATGGTGCTTTCAGATTTCAGAGGCCCACGCCCCTCCCTGTATGCACTTGCTACAGGAGGCTTCTCTGCCTCACCTTTAGCACGCTCTGAGTTTTGGGGGCCAGCATAACTCCCCAAGATAGGTGGCTCCCTTGAGTGTGCCTTCACTATGCAAAATACAGGCTCCCAACTCTGTTCTTGTTCTGGTTCAAAGACAGCAGGAAGTTTCCCCACTCAATCCAGCTTGCGGCCCACCTACCTACCAGTACCTGTGTTCTTTAGGATGATTTAAAGTGAGAATGAGCTACTCTCTGGAGGAGAAACATCCCAACCTATGGCCTGTGACCTCAGTGCCTTATGACCTGTGAGAGAGACTACATGTCCAGCAGAAATATACATGTATTTCTCTGTGAGAGAGACTACATGTCCACAGAAAGCGAGCTCCGTGTAATTTACAAAGTTCTAGTAGTCACATCAAAAAGGTAAAAAACAACAGGTGAAATTAATTCTAATAGTAAATTTTATTTAACACAGCATATCCAAAATATTGTGATTTTGACAAGTAATAAACATAAAAATTATTAGTGAGATATTTTACTGTTTTTGTACTAAGTCTTTGAAATCTCATGTGTGTCTTGCACTTAAGAGCACATTTGTATTTGGACTAGCCACACTTCATGTGCTCAGTTGCTACATGTGGCTAATGGCTACCATGTAGGACAGCACAGACTTACTGCACAGCTTACCTGAGGAGATCCTAGCAATAAATACTTGTCTTGCATCGCATGTGTCTCAAGAATAAGTTATTATTATTAATTAGTTTTTTTTCCTTGAGATGGAGTCTTGCTCTTGTAGCCCAGGCTGGAGTGCAGTGGCATGATCTTGGCTCACTGTAACCTCTGTCTCGTGGGTTCAAGTGATTCTCCTGCCTCAGCCTCCCGAGTGGCTGAGATTACAGGTGCACACCACCACGCCTGGCTAATTTTTGTATTTTTAATAGAGATGGGGTTTCACCACTTTGGCCAGGCTGATCTCAAACTCCTGCCCTCGGGTGATCTGCCCTCCGCCCGCCTCCTCGGCCTCCCAAAGTGCTGGGATTACAGGCGTGAGCCACTGTGCCCAGCCAAGAATACGTTATTTAGTCTTGAATTACAGATTTCATTGAACATCTACAGATCAGTCTATGACGTCCTTAACTTGCTCAGTGGAGCCAGTTTTCCCCATTCCAAGATGAAAATATGGACAGTACTAAGACTGTTCTGATCTCTCTTAGGTCCTGTAGTTATTTTATATTACCAAACACAATGCCAATTCAGAAACTCAACGTTTAGTTCCAAAGGTAAGTCTCCTTTCCTCCAGCAAGGGCTTTGCAAGGATGGGAAGATGAGAAATGGGGAAACAGGTCCTCAACATTATGCATCTATCCTTCTTCTCCTGTCTTGCTAATGGTGGTTTCTAACCCTCCAAGGTTGAGTAGAATGGGGAAGGGTTGGGGGAAGGAGTGGTCTGGGGCGTGGAGCAGGCACGGTTTGCAAGAGGGCTTTGCATTCTCTGGGACTGGTAGGGGCTTACAGGGGATTCCTCCTCCTTGGGTGCTTCTTCCGAGACCCCTCACCCCTAATGCCATACAGTTGCAAATGAGGATTTCTTTCCACGATTTATTCCTCCCACAGCTCATAGGAATGCAGTAATCACTTCAGCTTCTCTCTGCTGAGGCCTGTTGATGCCTGTAGGTGGCCACATCAGACAGGATTAGCTCGGCTCCACATCAGCTCGCTTCCTAGCATGCCTCACACTAGTCTGCTGGAAATACTTACACAGCCTTGCCCTGAAAACCTGGGATACAGGTCCCCAGTGCCTCCTCCTTTCCTACACTCCCACTCCCAGGGCAGAAAACCAGCCTGTCTCCTACCATGAGGTCTGCAGACAAATGTCAGATGCCAGCCCATTGCAGTCTGTCCACTGGGGAGGGGGAAGCTTTATGCAGGACAATAGGAAAAAAGAGTGAAACTATTCTGAATTAGATGTTTATATACATAAAATGATATTGCTTGACACCTGAAGGGAACAAGAAAAACTCTGGAGCTTTCTTGATCTAGTGACATGAAAGAAAGATGAGGTCCATGTGCTGTGGCTCATGCCTATAATCCCAGCACTTTGGGAGGCTGAGGCTGGAAGATACCTTGAGTCCAGGAGTTCAAGGCCAGCCTGGGCAACATGGTGAGACCTAATCTTTATTGAAAAAATAAAAATAAAACGTAGCAGGGCATGGTGGTGCATGCCTATGATCCCAGCTATTTGGGAAGCTGAGGTGAGAAGATTACTTGAGCCAGTGAGATTAAGGCTTCTATGAGCCATGATCATGCCACTGCATTCCAGCAAATTAAAAAAACTTAAAATTTTTTTTAGGCTTGACTTGAAACTCAGAGACCTTGAAAAAGAAAGAAAAAGAAGAAGAAAGAAAGAAAGAAAGAAAGAAAAAAAGAAAGAAAGAAAAGATGGGACCATTGGTCGCCATGGACACTGTTTCCACAGCTACTTTGCTATTTTGATTGTCATTGCGTATTGTTTGAAAGACTCTGCTATGAGAAAAATATAACTATTTCTCAATTTAACCGTGATAGACTATAAGTAGATAAAATAAGGTTGAGACAGATTAAATAAACTATTAAGGGGAAGAACTAGACTAGAACCCAGGTTTTCTGGCTTCTTATCTGGTGTCTGTTTTCACTCTGAAACTCACTTAGGGTCACGGACTCACTGACTCACAGATTCAGTGTGACAAAGATAATCAGAAACCAAGTCACTGTAACAAAAGCCCCCTAAAGACAGGACACCAGCTCACTGCTGTATCCTCAGTGTTGACGTCAGTGTGCTTGTCCAATAATCCACACTTAATAAATGTGAGTAGAATGAGTGAATTAATTAATTAATGGTTTAGTTGTTTAGTTTGTGAGGGAACAAGTATCTGAAAATGTTAAATGAATCACTGAAAGTCATTTATATATATGTGTGTGTGTATATATATACATATATATATATATATTTTTTAAATACAGAGTCTTGCTATGTTATCCGAGCTGGTCTCCAACTCCTGAGCTCAAGCAAACCACTCGCCTCGGCCTCCCAAAGTGCTGGGATTACAGGTGTGAGCCACCTCACCCTGTAATATAATATAAATGCCGAAAGTCATTTATATTTTATAGGTTGTAAGACATATATTTATTTTCCCATTTATCATCTCTTGAATAGGGATGCGTCTTACAATCAATGGCGTGTCATAGTTTAACCCGCTGTGTTTTCCTCTTAGTGCTGCATGAAATAATGGTATGTTTTCCGGCAACGGAGCTTTAGATGCAATGAGGAGCAGCAGTTGTTTGTGGACATACGTTGTGTCTCATGTCAGTGAGTGCAAGGAAAGGGGGAGGTGGGGGTGACCCCGTGGGATGCAAAACAAGTCAACTTCTCCAGGCCCTCAGAAGTGGCGCTCAATCTCCAGAGAGGCGCCCATCTCGCAGAGGGCCACTACCCGGTCATTGCCACTAGGGGGCTACCAGACATTTCATCAGGAAGACACAGGCAGTCTTTGGGCCTCTCTTCCGACCAGGCCATTTGTTGCCATGGATATTGTTTCCATAGTTGCTTTGACTGTCACTGCATTTCCCCTGATTATCTGTTTTTGCATGCTGAATATATACTATAATCCAATCTTCATCCTCATCAATTTAACAATTTTATCATATCTAGATTTTTCAAATGGCCAGTTTTCATCAATTGTGACGTTCATGGCATTTGACTTTGTTAGTGAGTTCTGCTTTTGCAGCCCCTGTGTTCCAGTATACAATACTGCATTATACCTCAGCTCACTTCACAAATTGGGTATCCACTGCAAGCAACTAAGCACAAGTAGTGAATACTAATCCAAATGAAAGAATGGGTCTGTTGTGGTGTTAGCGCAAGAGAAAATTCCTCTGCTCCATGGTGCATTAGTAGTAGCTCATTTTGCTTGCTGCCCCATTTGATTACATTGTTGGTGGTAAATATCACTGCTGAAAGTTCCATGAATTTCTTAAAGGTCTCCAAAGAAGATGTGGAACATTGAAGCATTTCACAACGTTTGCATGTACATGACAGCAATATTCATTCGCTTCTGCCAGGCACCTTGAAGGCAAAAGCTATTTACATGGCTCTCCACTGTGTTCTCATAGCCATGCACAGGCTTATATGTCCTCTGCAAAGATGTGATAGATGATCAAAGGAAACATCCAGTCTCCTCCCTCTCCCTCTCCCTCCCCCTCCCCCTCCCTCTCCTCCCCCTCCCCCTCTCCCTCTCCTCCCTCTCCCTCTCCTCCCTCTCCCTCTCCTCCCTCTCCTCCCTCTCCCTCCCCTCCCTCTCCCTCTCCTCCCTCTCCCTCTCCCTCTCCCCACGGTCTCCCTCTCCCCCTCCCTCTCCCTCTCCCCACGGTCTCCCTCTCCCCCTCCCTCTCCCTCTCCCTCTCCCCGCGGTCTCCCTCTCCCCCTCCCTCTCCCCACGGTCTCCCTCTCCCTTTCCCCACTGTCTCCCTCTCCCTCTCCCTCTCCCTCTCTCTCCACGGTCTCCCTCTGATGCCGAGCCGAAGCTGGACTGTACTGCCACCATCTCAGCTCACTGCAACCTCCCTGCCTGATTCTCCTGTCTCAGCCTGCCCAGTGCCTAGGATTGCAGGCGCGCGCCGCCACGCCTGATTGGTTTTCGTATTTTTTTGGTGGAGACGGGGTTTCGCTGTGTTGGCCGGGCTGGTCTCCAGCTCCTAACCGCGAGTGATCTGCCAGCCTCGGCCTCCCGAGGTGCTGGGATTGCAGACGGAGTCTCAATCACTCAGTGCTCAATGTTGCCCAGGCTGGAGTGCAGTGGCGTGATCTCGGCTGGCTACAACCTCCACCTTCCAGCTGCCTGCCTTGGCCTCCCAAAGTGCCGAGATTGCAGCCTCTGCCCGGCTGCCACCCCGTCTGGGAAGTGAGGAGCGTCTCTGCCTGGCCGCCCATTGTCTGGGATGTGAGGAGCCCCTCTGCCTGGCCGCCCAGTCTGGGAAGTGAGGAGCGCCTCTTCCCGGCCGCCATCCCATCTAGGAAGTGAGGAGCATCTCTGCCGGGCCGCCCATCGTCTGAGATGTGGGGAGCGCCTCTGCCCCGCCGCCCCGTCTGGGATGTGAGGAGCGCCTCTGCCCAGCCGCGACCCCGTCTGGGAGGTGAGGAGCGTCTCTGCCCGGCCGCCCCGTCTGAGAAGTGAAGAGCCCCTCCGCCCGGCAGCCGCCCCGTCTGGGAAGTGAGGAGCATCTCCGCCCGGCAGCCGCCCCGTCAGGGAGGGAGGTGGGGGGGCAGCCCCCGCCCGGCCAGCCGCCCTGTCCGGGAGGTGAGGGGCACCTCCGCCCGGCAGCCCCGACTGGGAAGTGAGGAGCCCCTCTGCCCGGCAGCCACCCCGTCTGGGAGGTGAACCCAACAGCTCATTGAGAACCGGCCATGATGACGATGGCGGTTTTGTCGAATAGAAAGGGGGAAATGTGGGGAAAAGATAGAGAAATCAGATTGTTGCTGTGTCTGTGTAGAGGGAAGTAGACAGGGGAGACTCCATTTTGTTCTGTACTAAGAAAAATTCTTCTGCCTTGGGATGCTGTTAATCTATAACCTTACCCCCAACCCCGTGCTCTCTGAAACATGTGCTGTGTCCACTCAGGGTTAAATGGATTAAGGGCGGTGCACCATGTGCTTTGTTAAACAGATGCTTGAAGGCAGCATGCTCGTTAAGAGTCATCACCACTCCCTAATCTCAAGTACCCAGGGACACAAACACTGCGGAAGGCCGCGGGGTCCTCTGCCTAGGAAAACCAGAGACCCTTGTTCACTTGTTTATCTGCTGACCTTCCCTCCACTATTGTCCTATGACCCTGCCAAATCCCCCTCTCCGAGAAACACCCAAGAATGATCAATAAATACTAAAAAAAAAAAAAAAGAAAAAGAAAAAGGAAACATCCATGCCACCTCCTTTCATGGGTAGAAGGTAGAAGCTGAAAAAGTCTTCTGGGTATGGAAACTCACGAATACCTCGAGGCCAACTTGGTTCAGGGTTGCTGCCTAAAAAACTCTGGGTGAGGTCCTGAGTTGAAAACAAAACATCTCTGCTTGTGTTCAATTTTCAAATTCTTTTGAGGGTGAGGCCTGAGAAGTCGCAAACATCTTAAAAAGCAGAACTCACTAGTAAAGGCAAATAAATGCCATAAATGTCACAATTGATGACACGTTCCCTACCATCCATCACACACACAAGAATGTTTTTTCTGTGTATCCACGACTTGTTTTCAGACTGGGGGCTCCTCAAGAATAGGGACTGTGTCTGGTTTTTCTTGCTTGGCTCAAAACCCAATACAGATTGGAGGAAAGATCCGAGAGCCTGCCATTGCAAGCCTAAAGAAGAGAAGACTGAAGGATAAAAGTGTTCATACCTGTGAGTGATTTTTGTAGAGACAGTGCAGAACAGTTCATCACTTGAGATTCAGTCCAAATGAGATAAAAAGTGAGTAATCCTGGAGCCAGGAAACCTGAGTTTAACTCCCTCACCCCCCACCCCTCCCTGCCACTTACCGTTAAGGAGGTTTGGGGACAATTTATTTAACTTCTCTGAACTTCAGTCTTTGCATTTCTAAGACAGGATGGTTCTCCTACCTCACAGAGGTGATGTGAAGATCAAAAGAATCCACATATGTGACAGCAGCTCAAAGTGCCCCACAAATATGTCACAAGTCTCCGGTCAGTTACCCTATCCCTTGGGAAGCTTTCCAGGATCTGCACAGGCTGAATGAGATCCCTTCTCTGGACTCTGCCCGAAAGCATTCCTTTATTGTAGCACTTAGCATGTTGCACTGTAATTGCTGGTTTTCTTGTCCTTGAGGGTAAGAACTATGTCATTCACTTCTGTTGGTTGGCTGCCTCTGTTCCCAAAAGAATTCCCAGCACCATACTAGACAGTTACTAAAGGAATCCTAGGCCAGGTGCAGTGGCTCATACCTGTAATCCCAGCACTCTGGGAGGCCAAGGTGGGTGGATCACAAGGTCAGGAGTTCGAGATCAGCCTGGCCATCATAGTGAAACCCTGTCTCTACTAAAAATACAAAAATTAGCCGGGTGTGGTGGCACGCGCCTATAGTCCCAGCTACTCAGGAGGCTGAGGCAGGAGAATTGCTTGAGCCTGGGAGGCGGAGGTTGCAGTGAGCTGAGACCACACCATTGCAATCCAGCCTGGGTGACAGAGTGAGACTCTGTCTCAAAAAAAAAAAAAAAGGAATCCTAATTTCCTTGTGTTTACAAATAAGACCAAAACAGAAGAAATAGCACCAAAAGAAAGCATACATTTATTCGTTTATTCCAAAATGTGTATTTCATCCCATCTAAGATGACGTTGAATGCAAGATGCAGCATTACTTATGCCCCACTAAGGAAGAAAGAGTGCTACTGACTGGTTCATGATGTGCTATCAAGTGTAAGACACTTTTCCATTTTTAAACGTTTCTTGGTTTTTTTTTTTAGGCAGTGTCTTGCGATGTTGCCCAGGCAGGTCTCTAACTCCTAGCTCTGGGCAATCCTCCCACCTTGTCCTCCAAAAGTCCTGGGATTACAGGCCTGAACCACTGCAGCCAGTGGACATCTCCATTTTATTTTTATTATTATTTTTTTAAGACAGCATCTCACTCTGTCACCCAGGCTGGAGTGCAGTGGTGCAATCTCGGCTCACTGCAACCTCCACCTCCCAGGTTCAAGTGATTCTCTTGCCTCAGCCTCCTGAGTAGCTGGGACTACAGGTGTGTGCCACCAGCGCCCAGCTAATTTTTGTATTTTTAGTAGAGACGGGGTTTCACTATGTTGGCCAGGCTGGTCTCCAACTCCTGACGTCAAGTGATCCACCTGCCTCAGCCTCCCAAAGTGCTGGGGTTACAGGTGTGAGCCACTACGCCCATCCGACATCTCAATTTTAGATTACGATCCAATGGGGAAGATGTGCATCAGAGGCTCAATGAAGCATATGATTATTAAATATCTAATCTATCTCATATATTGTCCTCAAAACCCCTATTCTCAAGGAACTGACATTCTAGTGGAAGGAGACAGACATAAAACAAATAAGTTAACACGTAAATAAGCATAAGTTCAGATTGTCGTCAGCTCCATAAAGAAAATAAATATGGTAATCTGTAGAGACTGAAGAGAGGGGTTTGTTTTAGATGAATCACAAGAAAGGTCCTGAATAGATCTGAAAAATAACTACGTGTTTTCTAAGGTGTCAAACAATACCTCGCTAAGGGAGAGTGTTGAATCACTGTTGCTTCACCAAACATTCTTGTTTAGAAAGACAGGGGACTGGACCAGAGTGTGCATTCGCAGACGTTTTAATGAGAGGTGACACTCCCCAAAAGGCATAAATCCTGTTCAGGCACAATCTAGAGGGGTGTGCTTACTTGCCTGGTGTCCTCAATCTGGACTTGTGCAAGTTGGGTTCAGCTGGACCTGGTATGACTCCTTGATGACACCTGAAGAGGTCCTTTAAACACTGGACTTCATAAAGAGAAAAGGAGGATTAGCTGTATGATTAACTGTATGCATTTACCAAAGGCATGGAATGCACAGATATGTGCGACAACTTATAAGTGTCATCTGAGTATGAGTATATTATGGTTTGAGAGTCAACTACCAAATCTTGTAGTTCAGGTCCCAGGAGTGGTTAGAAAGGTATTTCCCTTATTCATTGAGGCTTCATTTTTTTTTTCTTCCCTTATGGGTGTTCTGCAGCATCTTCTCCTTGTCTTTTCTACCTTCAATACTCTCCAGAGACCAGATCTTCATGTATATCTCTCTGGGCTCTCAAATGCCAAAACCATACTCTCCTTCACGGTAGCACCCTGAGGGGGTGGACTTATTCTGGAGAAAGCTACGTGGCAAGTTGAAGGAGACTGACTGGGTAAAGCCCCTGTGCCTCTGGCAGAACTGCTGCCACAAAGGGATATGCGTATCCTGGGAATAATTAGTACAGGCCAGTTGCTACTGACTTTAAGGATGTTCCTTATGCTTCAATCCTATGTACAACTCTGGGATCTTTGGAGAGCAGCAAAAAGACTGAGATTGAATTTCCCTCTAATCTGACAGGAGCAGAAATTAACATTTTCTTTCTTTTATTTTTCTCTTCGAGACAAGGTCTCTCTCTGTTGCCCAAGATGGAGGGCAGTGACATGATCACAGCTCACTGCTGCCTCGACCTCCTGGGCTCAAGCAATCCTCTCACCTCAGCCTCCCAAGTAGCTGGGACTACAGGCATACACTACCATACCCAGCTAATTTTTAATTTTTTTGTAGAGACGAGGTCTCACTATGTTGCCCAGGCTGGTCTTGAACTCCAGGCCTCAAGCAATCCTCCTGCCTCAGCCTCCCAAAGTGTTGGGATTACAAGCGTGAGCCACTGTGCCCAGCCTTTTTCTTTCTTTCTTTCTTTTTTTCTTTTTTTTTTGAGACAGGATCTTGCTCTGTCGCCCGGGCTGGAGTACAGTGGCACAGTCATGGCTCACTGCAGCCTCCACCTCCTGGGCTCAAGCGAGCCTCTTGCCTTAGCCTCCCAAGTATCTGAGCCTACAGGCATGTGCCACCACACTCGGCTAATTTTTTTTTTATTTTTAGTAGAGACAAGGTCTCACCATGTTGCCCAGGCTGGTGTAGATCTTCTGAGCTCAAGTGATCTTCCTACCTCGGTCTGCCAAAGTGCTGCGATTACAGGTGTGTCATCCTGCCTGGCCAGAAATTAACTTGATTGAAAGAAAAGAAAAGCTTTTGATATGCTAGCGTTTTTGCATGCATGCTTTTGCATGCTAAAGTTTCTATGCCATTTACAGAGATTTCATGGTCTCTTCAATTGCTCTAAGTTGTCCTTGAGGTGCAGAAACTCAAGCACACAGACTTCTCAGCTAGAATTTGTAGCTCTAGCAATTCCTTTGTTTATTGCACAAACCTAGCTTGTACCGAGACCAAAAGTTCTGCCCCCTTGAAGACCAAGGCAGATTCTGGAATTCCTTGTGCTTGCCAATACCCTTTGACAAATGCCCAGCCCCAAACCCCAGCCTGAACTTCAGGAGGAAGATTTTATAGAAACACATTGGACTTTTCCTGCCTGTATATTAACCAAGAGACTCTTCTGTCACTCTTTTTTCCTGCAATAAACTGATATTCATGCAAGTATCTCTAATCACAAAATTCTCCCTTGGCCACTTGCTGCCTCCATGGGGGCAGAAGAGGGAGATCATTTTATTATTCTCCCATTCCCCACTATGTGTAGCTCCCACATTCTTAAAATCCTGAGCACTGTGTCTTCCCAAATGTGTCATGGAGATATTCGCAGAAGTCTGCATGTTCTAGATGATGTTTATGTGTCATATCATTTAGGATCCCATTTAGCTGGAATCACAAGAAGCTCACCTCACTGAGCTCCGGCACACTGCTCATCTCATATACGAAATGTCCGAGAGGAGCAGCCCAGGGCTCAGTATTGCCATCGGGCACCCAAGTGATTTCTTCCCTCTGCTCCACTCTCAGCTTGAAGCCTTCACCCTGCTGTGGGTCTCCCCCTGACCTCAGCATTGCTGAGCCCCAGGTCTCATATCTGCATTCCAGGTAGGAAGAGGAACGAAGGGGAAGGGGCAAAGGGCTTTCTCCTCATGAGCTTTGGCCTTTTCATCTGGAAGGGACACCATCCCCAGGAACTTATGCCTTTATCACATTGGCCAGAGCTGTATCTCCTCACTGCACTGGCTGCAAGGGGGACCGGGAAATTGGGGATTTGGGAAATGGTTTTCTTCAGCTGGGCACATTACCATCACCCCCAAAACTCAGGTTCTCCAAGTGTAAGGGAAGGGGAGACTAGAGCTGTTTCTGTCACGTTTTCCTTCAGGTAATAATCTTGAAAATCCCCATAATATAAGCATTTCCTGGATTCTATTGATGACCAATATAAAACCAACATAAAGCTAATAGAAATGATTAGTCTTTACAATTGCACAGCCTAACAAGAGTAGAACGAGAACTGTCTTAAAATTTAAACAGTGCATTTGCATTAAGGGCCCAATAATCCCGCAGCTGACTGAGAGACTGAAGGTCTTGAGAGAGCTTGTACAGAGACGATCCATGAAAGAAGGAAAACATCAAGTGGCAAATGAGATTTGAGAAACTAGGCTGTAGCAATCACTACAATATTAATGTTGGAGCGAAGAATTCTTCAGTAAAGAAATATCATGCATTACATTAAACTACTGCTGTTACTTCTAACGTTATTGGAACAGTAGAGCTATAAGCATAAGGAGTTTATACTTCATTTTCTGTTTCATATATATTTACGTTTAAGCCAACATGGCGAGTTCTCAAAAAATCTCTTTTCCAGCCAGGCACGGTGGCCCACACTGTAATCCCAGCACTTTGGGAGGCCAAGGCGGGTGGATCACCTGAGGTCAGGAGTTCAAGACCAGCCTGGGCAACATGGTGAAACTCCATCTCTACTAAAAATACAAAAATTAGCCAGGCATGGTGGTGCACGCCTGTAATCCCAGCTACTCGGAGGCTGAGGAAGGAGAATCGCTTGAACCCAGGAAGTGGAGGTTGCAGTGAGCCAAGATCGCACCACTGGACTCCAACCTGGGCAACAGAATGAGACTCTGTCTCAAAAATATATATGTATCTTTTCCTTTAAAGGTGTTTATCACATAAGTCTGAGAAATATTGGTTTAATATTTATTTAATCAATCCAATTTTTTCACTTTAGTATTTTAATTTATTATTCCGTGTTTCCGACTCTGTATCATAATACTACAATTCCATTATTTAACACTGGTGGTGATGCTGCTCATAGTGGCATCAGTAGTGAGCAAACAATAATCAACTGTCTTCACATATCTTTGATTCTTTGGTTTTTGTCCTGAGCTCCTCACAGAGCTGTTATATCCAATGCCCCGGCCTTGTCTGTGGTCTTAGCCATCATTCATAGGTGCATGAATATGGTGCATTTGCATTAAGTAAGGACAAATCTCTTCTTCTATCAGGCAGGGCTTTTCTCTTAGAGGTTAGGTCTGGACTTCGTGTCCTCATTTCACACCGCGATTGACTAAGATGAGACTCATTTATTTGCTACGGTGGCCAGTCCCACACAGGTGCTCATACATACTTGCTGAATGACCAGTTGACTACATCCTGTAAATGTGACCCTTTGGCCTGGGTGGTAGGAGAACGCGGGCATAGTCCTCTTAAGAGATAAGTTGTATCCTTCAGCTTACAGGTAGACTGAGATAGACAGACTGGGAGACGTAGAGTGTTGAGCTCATGCTAGGCACTGAATAAATATTTTGTTAAGGCCAGGTGCGGTGGCTCATGCCTGTAATCCTAGCACTTTGGGAGGCCAAGGCGGGTGGATCACCTGAGGTCAAGAGTTCGGGACCAGCCTGGCCAACATGGTGAAACCCTTGTCTCTACTATAAATACAAAAATTAGCCAGGCGTGGTGGCATGCGCCTGTAATCCCAGCTACTAGGGAGGCTGAGGCAGGAGAATCACTTGAACCTGGGGGGCAGAGGTTGCAGTGAGCTGAGATCGCGCCACTTCACTCCAGCCGGGGCAAAAGAGCAAAACTTCGTCTCAAAAAAAACATTTTTTTTTTTTTTGGTTAAATGAATGAATGTAGAGATATGTCCCAGACAAAAACAGATAAAATTTGCTTTATTGATTTGATCAGACTTACCGAATATCTCTTATACCTGAGCTGTGTGTAATTCCTCAAAACCTGGTAGATAGGTAAAGGCGATTGTCCAGAGGAAGTAACCAAGGTCAGGCAGAATTAGGAGACACTCAGAGCAGATGGGCATCCTTCTGAGTGTCCTCCACATGCTTATTCCAGGGGCCAGCTGCCTTCCTCATGTGGTGGTCCCAGGGCTCCAGACTAGGGCGGAGGAGTGGAGGCCTGAGGATACACATCATGCTGCATAGTCTTGCAGAGGCGGATGAGGGGTCTCCTTTTTCTAGAACCAACTGTAGTCACTGCTGGGGTCCTCTTTATGGTGTACTGTAGTCCATGACATGGGGATGATAAATAACCCTGGTGGATGGATTTAATGGAGGCAGGAAACACTCTTTCTAGGGAGGAAGAAAATGGTTTGGTTTTAACACTCTGTTCTTCTCTTAACCCTGGTGGTTTGTAATTTATCACTTCTGCCCAGCCTGTTTCCCTGGCTCTGGGAGTCTGCTAGATGTCACTGTTTTCTTCAGATCCTGACACTGACTACTAGAGATCAATACTTGCCAAAAATGTGGACGACATTTAGGGGGAAAAAAAAGCCTTTTGTTTTTTTTTTTTTTTAGATGGAGTCTCGCTCTGTTGCCCACGCTGGAGTGCAATGGCACGATCTCAGCTCACTGCAACCTCTGCCTCCCGGGTTCAAGCAATTCTCTGCCTCAGTCTCTCAAGTAGCTGGGATTACAGGTGCCCACCACTATGGCTGGCTAACTTTTTTGTAGTTTTAGTAGAGATGGGGTTTCACCATATTGGCCAGGCTGGCCTTAAAGTCCTGACCTCGTGATCCACCCACCTCGGCCTCCCAAAGTGCTGGGATTACAGGCGTGAGCCACCGCACCCTGCCAAAAAAAACTTAAACCTTTTTTGTTTTTTTTAAAACAACTTAAAAAAAACTTAAACCATTAAAGTTTAAAGAAAAAAGCATTTTGACAAATGAAACTTGGGAGGAATGGTAATATAGTTCTTATTTTTAAAACTTTTCGAGTTAAAGGTTTAAAAGTCAAAAATTTAGCAAGTTTGGGAGCATAGACTTTCCTCTTACTTCCCACACCCTGAGCCTTTTGAGCCATCTCTTGTTTTTAGTCTCTACATGAAATTAAGAAGGTGCTAATGCTAGTGACCTCTCTGGGCCAATGCCTGGTTTGGAGGAAGGAAAGCATCTTTTGTTCTAGAGCAAGAGTGTCCAACTTTTCATGGTGATCCACATGATCAGAAATCCAATTGTTTATGGTAACAGCGAAGTCCAGAAGGTCCTCCCTCTACTGGTGAATACTGAACATGACTCATGCATGAGTCAGGTACATATGGACGCTTTCATTCCATTTTCCTCTTGTCAGCATCCTTCAGAATGCTCTAGTTTCATGGTGTCATTTTAGCAGAATTAAATGTGAACACCTCATCTGTATCATGCATTACTTTCGGCTTTACTCACACTTACAAACTGATCCAAAGCTGTGGATTTGCATCTTGGAGCAGGGGTCAGTGCACAATGGCATCAATGACCGCAAGAATTAACGAGGCTTTAATGACCTGCCCGAGTTGGCTAATCCTGCAAGCCGCCACTTGTTAAAATTTCGACATGCACTTAATCCGTAGGTCAGGATGGCCAAAAAGGACCAGCCCTTCCCCCTCAAGCAGCAGGCCAGAAGCAGGAGGCTTGGGTTTTAGATCAAATGTTAGCGAGAGGAAGCCACAATGTGGGGTCCCCCAGATCACCTCCTTTTCTTTCTGATCAGACTGACCAAAAATCACAGATTGCCTTGACCGTTCTGTGACCCAGCCAGCTGCAGGTTTTCCCCAGCAGGCTTGAACGCAAACCAGGGCCTTGAACACTCCCAGGCACTAATAAAGGTATCTAGGTTGTTGCCCAAAACGTTGAAAGAAACTGGCTCCAGCCCTGAGTCAAATTCCCTAAACCCTCATATAAACTCCATACCCTGACCCCCTTGCTACAGACATGCTTAGGCAGAACATCCCTTTTCCCTCCCTGTCGGCAGGGAGGATTGCTGCAGTCCTCTGTAAGTTCCCCTAATAAATGCTTTGAATTGATCACCCTGACATCTGGGCTTCTTTCTTTGGAATCCCAATTGGCCCCATCTCTGGAGGGTTTGGGCCACTCCCTGTGGGAATTTCCCTGCTGCTGCTTTTGGGATGATTCCAGCTGGGAGTTTGGTGAGATGAAACATGCAGGGCTGGCATGGAATTCTTTTGTCTCCTCTTGTAGAAACAACAGGGACCCTCAGAGACAGAAAAATACCCAGAGCTCCTCTTTGAGAGCTGGTACAAACTGTCTCTTTGGTGCAGGGTAGTGGTGGCTCATAAAAACCCACTCAATTTTGGTTTTAAAAAAATCTTCTTCAGAACTTCAGAGTAGGTAGTAATTAACACAAGAATATGTAATTTCTGATATGAGTGGACCACCCAGAATGTTTCTAATTCATCCACTCCTCTGGTCCCCAGTTCCTTGTCTTCTTAGGAAAATTTCCTCTTTTACATCCATCTGTACCTAACGGTTCATGCTTTGCCCTGACTCCCGCTGTGTCTTACCATGTTTGTGTTCTTATGTTTCTCACTCTCAGCCTCTCTTCCCTTTCTCTCCTTCCTGTCTCTCACAGCTTCCTCTGTCCCCAATGCTTTCTGCATCTTTTGTGCCAGGTGCTCTTTTCCTTTCTCTCCACCTCTGTCTTTCCAGGAGTCTTTGCAGAGCTCTCTCTATGTAGGCTTCCTCACGCCTGACGATTTCTTGGGCCTCTGTACCTCAGCTCTCCATGCCCACCGCTTATCCTCAGTTGGCCTCGTTCCCCTGATGCCCTGAATATTCCCAGACCAAATACTCACCACAATGAAGCCCAATCCAACAAAGAGCACAACAGTGACTGTGGTTGCAGCCAGGGATATGAGGATAATTCCCATGGGTGTCAGGAGCCTGGTGGGTTTCACTGCTGTGACTGAAGTAGTTCACAGAAGGTGAGTGTCACCATGTTTAGTGGTTTCATCTTCTGTGGTCCCTGGGTCTGCAGTGACGGAGTCCTCGGTGGTCCCTGGGTCTGCAGTGATGGAGTGTTTGGTGGTCCCTGGGTCTGCAGTGACAGAGTCCTCAGTGGTCCCTGGGTCTACAGTGATGGAGTGTTTGGTGGTCCCTGGGTCTGCAGTGACGGAGTCCTCTGTGGTCCTTGGGTCTGCAGTGATGGAGTCCTTGGTGGTCCCTGGGTCTGCAGTGACAAAGTTCTCAGTGAGTGGTCCCTGGGTCTGCAGTGACAGAATCCTTGGTGGTCCCTGGGTCTGCAGACACATAGTCCTTGGTGGTCGCTGGGTCTGCAGTGACAGAGCCCTCGGTGGTCCCTGGGTCCACAGTCACATTGTCCTCAGTGGTCCCTGGGTCTGCAGTGACAGAGTCCTCGGTGGTCCCTGGGTCTGCAGTGATGTGGTCCTCAGTGGTCCTTCCATCTGCAGTTACATCATTTTCTCTTATTCTTGAGTCTTTAGGGCTGGTCTCTGGGTGCTTAGTGGAAATGCTTTGGCTTAGTCCTACTAAAAAGTAATCTCATTTAATGTGAATTGTTGATGGCCTATCCTCATCTGCTCTGCTCAGTATTTTCATAACTATCCTCACATCCAAATGACACCTCTCCCCAGGTAATGTGGTGAGATTTATTCCAGTTAGGGATCATTTGGCATTTTTGGTTTAATTCTGGTAAAACATATTCCACAAGAATCCTCTTGCACTACAATATGGATTATCTTTGCTGAGCCACGCCCTTCGAAGGCCTGCTCACCCAGCTTTGACTCTGTCTTTTCCAGGTCTGGTCTCTTTCCGTGGGACACTAAACCTGACTCTTTCTCAAGCTCACTCCTCTCTGAACTGGTGTTTCAGCAATTGGGGTATTCTGGCTCCATGTTCATAGGTGTCTCCTCTCATCCATTTGTGCCTGCGGTTCTGGCAAACCAATGAGGCAGAAGCTGTGATTCATGTTAGAGATTACACTCAGGTCATGCTTGGTATATGATTTAAAATGAGACAGCTGGCCAGGTGCTCCATCTCAAAAAAGGAAAAAAAAAGCATGAGACAGCTTCTGGGTCAGATCTGGGGCTAACGTGGTAGGCTTGGAGGCAGGGAAGATTCAAGGTGGTATGGGGGCAGGCTTAGGGGAGGAGTCATGAGGGGTGTGGGTGTGATCTAGTTGGACTGAGGGCAACACTGAGTCAGGTATAAGTACAAAGAAGAGATGAGTCCTCTTCGTCTCCAGCCCTCACTGCCCCAGGCAGCCGTCAGGACTTGGGAGTATTCTTATTCTTAGGAATACATGTAGCTTACATGGCATAAATTTTGAACTTTTGGTACTCTGCCCAAATCTAGTCATCCCTCCCTACTGCTGACGCTCCACATTTTTCTAATAGGGTTCAAGTCTTCCTTCCTTCCTTCCTTCCTTCCTTTCCCTCTCTCTCTCTCTTTTTTTTTTTTTTCTTTGAGACGGAGTCTCCCTCTGTCATCCAGGCTGGAATGCAATAGCGCGATCTCCACTCACTGCAACCTCCACCTCCCAGGTTCAAGCGATTCTCCTGCCTCAGCTTCTCAAGTATTTGGGATTACAGGCGTGCGCCACCAGACCCAGCTAATTTTTGTATTTTTACTAGAGACTGGGTTTCACCATGCTGGCCAGGCTGGTCTCAAACACCTGACCTCAGATGACCCACCCGCCTCAGCCTCCCAAAGTGCTAAGATTACAGGCATGAGCCACTGCACCTGACCGTTTCTTTCTCTTTTTCTTTCTCTCTTTTGACACAGGGTCTTGTTCTGTGATTCAGGCTAGAGTTCAGTAGCACAATCATGGCTCAATGCAGCCTTGGCCTCCTGGCCTCAAGTGATCCTCCCACCTCAGCCTCCCGAGTAGATTAGACTACAGGCATGGGCTACCACGCCTGGCTGATTTTTTTGGTTTTTGTAGAGATGGTGTCTCACTATGTCGCCCAGGCTTGTCTCAAACTCCTGGGCTCAAGGGATCCCACTCCTTCTCATCCTCCCAAAGCGCTGGGATTAGAGGAGTGCCAAATTTTTCATTTCTCCAGGAAAGTTGAAACAAAGAAACTTAAATAAAATGCACAAAATCAAAAGCAGAGCATTTCCTTAAAAGGGGATATGAGAAAGACGCTGGGGTCCCTGCTTCCCTGTGGCAGGTGATTGAGGGTAGATAACAGGGTCCGGAGTTCCCAAGGTTCACTCACCTATTCCGTACCTTCGCTCGGGACTGGCCCTGTCTGAGTCCCAAGAGGCTCCTTCTCCAGGGACCCTGACTCCATCTCTCCAGGTCCCGGGGACTTTTGCATCCTTCTCACCAAAATTAACTCCTCCACCCCGTTCTGAACACCTCAGGAGAAGCAGGAGCAGCAGAAGGGGGACGTAGCGGGGCATTTTCTTCTCATCTCAAGAGAATCCACATGGTGCTAGCCAGGACACCTTTTCCTCCCTCCTTCTCTCAAACTTTTTCCACCCTGCCCTTCTCCTTCCACCCGCAGTGGCTGTGGGTTTATATGTGCTTTGCCGAGGGAAGCCAGAGCTCCGGGTCTTCCTTCCTGGAGGGAGGAGCAGCTTCTCAATTACCCCCTGTCACTCAAAGGAGTGGCCGGGCAGGGCAGAAGAGGCTGTCATGAGGGGAAGGGGGGCTCTCAGCTTTGGACCAGAGCCCAGAGTCGAGCAGCCACAGGGGATCAAGCCTGTCAGCGTGAGTGCACTGCTTTCTGATGTGGAGCCTAGTTGAAAACCATCCTCCACCCGGTGTTTCAGTGCTCAGGGAGGGCCTCGGCCTTCCTTCCCACAGGTGGCCACAGTAAAGTCAGGATGACCAAGGAGGGCATAGGCCAGGCCTGCCTGGGGGATGATGCTTGGCAGGAGGAGAGCTGGGTGTCAGAGGGTAGAGGACATTTGGTAAGGACCAAGAGAAGGTCCTCCAACAGAAGGAGAGGAACACTCATGAGGGGGCTAAAACACCCAATCTCTCTGTCTCTTAAAACCTCACTCTTTGCTCAATCATCCACCCAAATCCTCTTCCTTGGCTTCTCTCCAGCCCACGGATCTCTCTCCTTGCTCCCCCTGCTCGAGTGCCCTCACCCCAGTGAGCTTTCTCAATTACTGCATGTATTAGTCTGTTTTCACGCTGCTGATAAAGACATACCCAAGACTGGGAAGAAAAAGAAGTTTAATTGGACTTACAGTTCCACATGGCTGGGGAGGCCTCAGAATCACGGAGGGAGACAAAAGGCACTTCTTACACAGTGGCGGCAAGAGAAAATGAGAAAGAAGCAAAAGCGGAAACCCCTGATAAACCCATCAAATCTCATGAGACTTATTCACAGTCATGAGAATAGCAAGAGAAAGATGATTGGCGAAAAGAGAAAAACTCCCCACAGCATGAGGGGAATTGTGGGAGCTACAATTCAAGTTGAGATTTCTGTGGGGACAGAGCCAAGCCATATCACTGCACAAAATTAGTCCACTTGTGGTGAGGTCAGGCCTGAATGAGAATACCCACATCTTTTCCTCCTTCTCTGACCCTTATCCCTGCCTTGCCCACTCTTTAGAAGATCATTGTTGGTTCCCATCTTCATTCAGAGATGTCTCTCACCATTTGTGGGGCCTCTCTCTTTCCCAGTGTCCTTCTAACTAAAAGAGGAGTGTGAAATTGCAGGTGGGCCGGGAATTGTTCCTCTCTTAGAAGGCAGCTGATTTCCTGAAAATCAATTTAATGAATGGCTAGTTTACCACATGTAACTGACTATGTTAACTACTAGTATTATTTGAATGTATTAAATATTTTCTCTTTTCCTTCCTTCCTTTCTTTCTTTCTTTCTTTCTTTCTTTCTTTCTTTCTTTCCTTCTTTCTCTTTCTCTTTCTCTCTCTTTCTTTCTTTTTGACAGGGTCTTGCTGTATTGCCCAGGTTGGAGTGCAGTGGTGCTATCACGGCTCACTGCAGCCTCGATCTCCCAGGCTCAAGTGATCCTTCCACCTCAGCCTCCGGAGTAGCTGGGACTATATGCATGCACCACCATGCCCAGCTGATTGTTTTTTTATTTTTAGTAGAGACAAGGTCTCACTATGTTGCCCAGGCTGGTCTCGAACTCCTGAGCTCAAGAGATCCTCCCTCATCAGCCTCCCAAAGTGCTGGGATTACAGGTGTGAGCCACATCACCCAGCAACATTTTCAAACATAGTATTTAAACACACTCAAAAGAATTTGTATGTATTTAGTATAACTAATGAATAGATTTCAAAAGAGTATAGTAAGGAAAATATCTGATTTTCTAAGTCAAGAGGTATAATTTGCATATGATAAAATTCACCCTTTTTCATGTACAGGTCAATAGAATTTTTTTGGTTTGGCTTTGTTTTAGAATTTTTAAAACTTCATTTTGAGATAATTTTAGACTTACAGAGAATTACAAAAATAATTAACAGAGTTCCCGTATATTTTTCCCCTAGCTTTTCCTCATGTCAATATCTTACATAGTACAATTATAGAAACTGAGAGATTATATATACAATTATAGAAGCTAAGAAGTTATTGTTGGTACAATACTATATATATTTTTTTGAGACAGAGTTTCACTCTTGCTGCCCAGGCTGGAGTGCAATGGCACGATCTCAGCCCACAGCAACCTTCCCCTCCCAGGTTCAAGTAATTCTCCTGCCTCAGCCTCCCGAGCACCCGGGATTACAGGTGTGTAATCCTAATGGTGATAGATTAGATTCCTTCTACATTTATTAATTGAAATTCTTCTGTAAGAAAAAGTCGTGCCCTCTCCCCATTTTATTTATTCAACTATTTGTTTATATCAGAATGGACTCATAAATGTTTATTTTGTTCTGTGAGTTATGATCCAATACTATCACTATTTATTTTGTTGCTCAAACTTTGGCCACTGGGAGCTCTTTCAGATGGGCTCCAGTGCCGTTTTAATGTCCTCCATCCTTTTTTTGTTTTGTTTTATTTATGAGACAAGACTTCACTGCGTTTCCTAGGCTGAATTGCAGTGGCATCATCATACAGCCTCAAACTCCTGGGCTCAAGGGATCCTCCTGCCTCAGCCTCCTACAAGTAGCTAGGACTACAGGCATGCACCAGCACACCCAGCTGATATCTCCATTGCTATTTTGTTTTGTTTTTTGAGACAGGGTCTCACTTTGTTGCCCATGCTAGAGTGCAGTGGTGCAATATTGGCTCACTGTAATCTCCGTATCCTGAGCTCAACTAATCCTCCCACCACAGCCTTCCAAGTAGCTGGGACAACAGGTGTGCGCCACCACACCCAGCTAACTTTTTTTTTTTTTGTAGAGACAAAGTTTTGTCATATTGCTCAGGCTGGTCTTAAACTCCTGGGCTCAAGCAATCCACTTGTCTTGGCCTCCCAAAGTGCTGGGATTACAGGCTCAAGCCACTGTGCCCAGCCTCTCCATCCGTGGTATTTTGTTTTTTTGTTTTTTTTTGTGTGAGATGGAATTTCGTTCTCGTTGCCTAGACTGGAGCGCAATGGTGCAATCTCGGCTCACTGCAACCTCTGCTTCCTGGGTTCAAGTGATTCTCCTGCCTCAGCCTCCCAAGTAGCTGGGATTACAGGCATGCACCACCATGCCCAACTAATTCTGTATTATTTTAGTAGGGAGAGTTTTCTCCAAGTTGGTCAGGCTGGTCTCCAACTCACGAACCTCAGGTGATCCCCAGGCCTGGGCCTCCCAAAGTGCTGGGATTACAGGCATGAGACACTGTGCATGGCCCTCTCCATCCCTTTTTAAAACACTTTCTTGCATTCTGGTATTACAAGATGCTTCATGCTCATTTTTTATTTTGTCCATCCAGGCCCTGGAATCAACTATTTCTCCACAGAGCTCTGGCTCCTCTTTGTATTAGAGAATAATATTTAGAAACCAAGATTTGGGTACTAGGTGTGCTCATTCATAGTGGGTGTCACTGCTTCTTGCCCCCACGGAAGTTAGAGCTAGGAAACGTATGTATGTAAACTAACTCATGCATAAACACAGGTCTGTATTTATTTCTGCAATTACCTGTCTGCATATACAGATTGAATCCCTTATCTGAAATGTTTGAGACCGTAAGTGTTTTGGATTTTCAATTTCTTGGATTTCGAAATATTTGTATATACACAATGAGATATCTTGTGGATGAGACCCAAGTCTAAACATGAAATTTGTTTATGTTTTATATATATCTTATACATGTAGCCTGAAGGTAACTTTACGTGATATTTTAAATAATTTTGTGCATGAAACAAAGTTTGTGTATGTTGACTTGTGGTGTCATGTTGGTGCTCAGCAAGTTTTGGATTTTGGAGCATTTTGGATTTTCAGATGAGGGTTGCTCAACCTGTGTTTTAAACACAAGCATGGGTGCATTTTGACACCTCCAGCTTTAATCCAGCAACATGGGGTTCATTCTAGTCTCTCCCTTTTCTTTATTTGTAACTCCTTTCTCTGACATGGCTACGAATGTCTATAAACATATTTTTTTACTTATTTTTTCAACCCTAATAAACAAATAGTGGTTTCAGAACTGCTAATTCATACCCTTGCCAGAAACACATTTACCAACTACAGTACAGTGTTTCTGTATTTTTTTTTTTTTTTTGTCTTTAGCTTTATGGTCAAAACACAGTTTTTCTTTTCTTTTTCTTTTTTAAATTTGAGACAGGGTCTTGCTCTGTCACCCAGTCTGGGGTGCAGTAGCACTGCAGCCTTGATCTCCTGGACTCAAGCGATCCCTCCATCCTAGCCTCCTGAGCAGCTAGGACTACAGGCACACCATCATGCCCAGCTAATTTTTTTAACTTTTTGTAGAGGCGGGGTTCTCGCTGTGTTGCTGAGGCTGATCTCAAGCTCCTGGACTCAAACAAGCCTCCTGCCTTGGCCTCCCAAAGTGGTAGGATTACAGGCATGAGCCACCATGCCTGACTCAAAACAGTTTTTCAAAGTTACTTAGGCCAGCTCCTTCTTCTCCATCCGTTTCACTGTGCTTACATGAGTCATTTGTCAGAGTCTGCTTTCCATCTTTCCCTCCACATCCTGGTTGATTTGCTGAATTTCCATACCCTAAAAATCACTTTTTGTAGTGTACAGTTCTATGGATTTTGATAAATGGTAGAGTCACATATTCGGCGCACTGAATCCCTTCATCCTCCTCAATCTCCCCCCATGCCGTTCCTTTAGAGCCAACCCTTCTCCCACTTCCCAAACCCTGGCAACATGGATCTTGTTTCTTTCCCTATAATTTTGCCATTTTCAGAATGTCATATGAAGGGAATCGTATAGTCTGTAGCCTTATAGTTTTAGATATAATTTATATACTATTCATAGGAATCATATTTGCAATTATTCATCAGAGTCAAGAATAAATAATTTTTTCTTGCACATATTTTTGAATAAAGTCTTTCATGTGAAAATTGTTATAAATAAATATATTTATCTTGAGTATTTTCTTAACTAGAAAACATGCTATAAATCAAGAAGACATTCCCCAGTCTCCCTCTGTCTCCCAGCCTCCAGCCTGCAGCAGGAGGGAATCACACTGAATAGGATTTAAACAAAATTTAAAAATTCAAAGAATTAGTCATTTGATGAATTAGTTTTAAGAAAATTGCCTAGAGCTCGTTAGATGAAGACCTCCCTAAAACAGGACTTTTAACAAAAGTCACCATAAATTCTGGAGTTGGGGATTTTTAAAAAAGTGCTAGGCAGAAATCTCTTGAAATTCACATTTCTTCTCGTTTTCGTTTTTTTTTTTTTTTTTTTTTTTGAGACAGGGTCTCACTCTGTTACCCAGGCTGGAGTGAGTGGCGCAATCACAGCTCAGTGAAGGCTTGACCCCCTGGGCTCAAGTTATCCTCCCACCTCAGCTGGGACTACAGGTGTGCACCACCACACCTGGCTAATCTTTTTAACTTTTTGTAGAGACAGGACCTCACTCTGTTGCCCAGGCTGGTCTCAAACTCCTGGGCTCAAACAGTTTTCCCACTTTGGCCTCCCAAAGTGTTAGGATTACAGGCATGAGCTACTGTGCCCAGCCTCCACTTCTTTTCTTCTTTCCCATTTCCATGTTTTGTGGTCTTAGATTTGTCTATTTGCTTCTTTCTTTGCAGGGGCATTACAACACCATTTTTGCTGGTTTCCAGCCTCTATTTTCTACTCACTCAGCTGATTGAAGTGTTCTTATTGGGGAAAAAATTGTGTCCCACTACACCTTAAAGTGATCTGTGGGCTTTGTGCTGTTAAAGGATGAAATCTGGCCTCCTTGGAGTGGTGTTCAAAGCCACGCATTAGCCCCCAGCCCCAGCTCCCTCTGCTGTGCTCTCCAGCCCCACAGGTCTTCTGACCTTCACTGGCCGTGCCATGCCCAGTCTTGCACAAGCTGCTTGCTTGCCTGGCATTTCCTCTTCTGCTCCTCGTAAATGCCTGCTAACTCCTCAAAATCCAAATGTCACCTTCTATGTGAGTCAGCCTCTCCTCCCCTCATCAAGTTAGATGTTTCCTCCTGTGGTGCTTCCATTCATACTACTTGATGCGTTGGCCTGTAACTTATGTACCTCCCTCACCCAACTGTGACCTACAGGGTCATCCTAGCTGCCCCAGCTCCTTGAGACCTCATGCCAAGCAGGTGTCCAGTAAATATGGTGAATGAATGAATGAAAAAATGAGTGCAAAAGATGATAATTATTTTACGAAAAGGTCTGGGGGCTCTTAAAACTGAAGAGGAGATAATGGATACACTGATAAATATCTTCAAGGTATTATTTTAAAACCCTAATATAAAAATAAAAATTAAAAAATCCCAAAATAAAAAACCCGAATATACATTTTTTCTTCCTATTGAGGTAAAATTTACAAAAAGTGAAATGCACAGATCTTAAGAATTCAGTTAGTGGAGGTTTCTTGTTTTGTTTTGTTTTTTTGAGACAGGGTCTCACTCTGTTGCCCGGGTTGGAGTGCAGTGGCACCATCACGGCTCACTGCAGCCTTGACCTCCTGGGCTCAAGCAATCATCCCACCTCAGCCTCCCAAGTAGCTAGAACTACAGGTGTGCATTACTATACCCGACTAATATTTGTATGTTTTGTAGAGATGAGGTCTTGCCATGTTGCCCAGGCTGGTCTCAAACTCTTGGGCTGAAGCAATCCTTTCACCTCAGCCTCCCAAAGTGCTGGAATTACAAGCGTCAGCCACCACACCCAGCTGTTAGCTGAGTTTTGACAAGTGTATTTACCTGTGTAACCAACAGACCAGTTGATATAGAAAACATTCCTATCACCCAGAAAGTGCCCCCTTCCTAAAAACCCTCACCCTCATAGGAGATCTGATCTCTGCCACCATAGATTAGTTTTGCCTATTGTTGAATTTCATGCAAATAAATTGTACAGTAGATACTCTCTTGCATCTGTTAAAAATAGATTTTGTTGTTGTTGTTATGTTTTTTGTTTGTTTTGTTTTGGAGACAGAGTCTTTCTCTGTTGCCCACAGTGGAGTGCAGTAGCGCAATCTCTGCTCACTGCAACCTCCGCCTCCCAGGTTCAAGCAATCCTCCCACCTCAGCTTCCCGAGTAGCTGAAACTACAGGCATGTGCCACCACACCCGGCTAATTTTTGTATTTTTAGTAGAGACGGGGTTTTGCCATGTTGGCAGGGCTGGTTTTGAACTCCTGACCTCAGGCGATCCGCCCGCCTCAGCCTCCCAAAATGCTAAGATTACAGGCATCATGAGCCACCGCACCCAGCCTAAAAACAGTTTTGTTCATCATATTGTAAAATGTTCTTAGAGAAACAGCTTGGTCCTGTTAAGGCTCTCCCAAAGACCCAGGAGAATCCCAGAAGCTGAAGAGACTTAGCAGAGGGTGAAACTGATAAAGCAGAGGCGAGTGATTCACAGGGAGGAAGAATCAGTGGGGTGCGTGTGCGAGTGCGAGAGCAAGTTGCACCAGAAGCCTGGGTGGGACCAGGCCTGAGCATGGTGCTGACACTGGCATGTGTGCCCTCTGAGGCCTGGTTTTGGGGGAGCTGCTGAGGATCTAGACCGTAGCAGGGCAAGCCAGTCCTGCCCTTGCAAAAACTGGGAGCACATTCTCCCTGCCCAGGACAGTTGCTGGGCTGGGAGCCCACAGGAGAGAAAGGTGGCAACTCACACCTGCAGCCCAGAGCAGACGTGAGTGGCCAGGAAAAGTGGCCATGTCTAAGGGTGGCCCCAGTAGCAAGCTCTTTCCTACCTCACAACATGAAAACAGGATCACTTTCCTCCAGTTCATGTTCTAGGCTCACGCAGAGGCTGTTTTCCTGCCATGCAACACACGTCTGTAAAGACCAGCACCTGCCTTCCCCCATCTCTCCTGACTCCGTTCTTCCATCGACCCAGAGGCCTCGGGGAGCAGGGAAGGAGTGGGGAAGAAAATGGGACAGATGTGAGGTCTCTGGATTTCATGCTAGGATTTGAGAACTGGGAGGTCACAGCGAAAGAGTGTCCTCATGATATAGGAAACCTCTCTTCACAGCAATATACAAGCACACACCCACAGTCTGGCTGTCACATAGAGCAGATGCACTTATTTAATCATTCAGCACTAGCGATAGCCTCCTGTTTCAGGTCTGGGAGAACTAAACAGAAGGTAGGAGTGTCAGGGGCTGGAGCAGAGCTGGGAGGAGCAGCCCTGGGGGCAAGTGAGGAAAACCGAGACCGCTGGTCCTCCCCACCCTGAGGACAGTGAAGTGCCTGCCTTTAGGGACACTGTGTCTCCTCATCAGCTCCATGCCTGTGGGAGAACACTGGTCTCTAAAATCCGTTTCAGTCTCACTTGACCCATCTTGGACTCCATGATATCCTTGAGGACATGGACCAAGGTTTGGGATGTGAAGATCTTTGGTGAAGAGGTTTCTTAGGCACAGAGAGTTTCTCTAGAAAACAAAAGGATGGATGGTTCAGAGTTATGCCCCTCTTCCAGTGCTCTCCCATCCCACGTGTCCCCACTCCCCATTCGGCCTCCCCAGCCTCAGTACTCCTTTGGCCCCTTCTCTCCTCATCAATTTCCTCTGAACATGTACCAGCTTTTCTAGCCCTCTCTCTTGCTGGTTCTCACCTGCTGTCTCTGTCTTGCTTTGTCCCTCTCCTGATTTCTCATTCCCTATTAGCCACACAATGACCCTACTCTCTCTACCCTGCTTCCCTCCTCAGTTCCCTGCACTCCCTCCCTCAGAAAAAGGATTTCCCACACATCAGGCACTCATGAAATAAAAGAGCCCTGTGAAGAGAATCACAGCCATTGCAACCAAGGCCAGAGTGACTAGGATGACTTCCCACAGCCTCAGGCATCCATTAGACCTTCCCTCATTCCCTGGAGGGGCTGCACTTGTGCTGGTGACACTGGAGGTTGCGGTTGTTGTGTTAGTTCCACTGGAAGATATAGTGGACCCAGGGCAGGGGGGTTGTAGTGATTCCACTGGGAGGTGTGGTTGGTCCAGGGAGCGTGGTCACGGTGATTCTGCTGGATAATGTGGTTGATCCTGGAGGGGTGGTCATGGTGATTCCACTGGAAGGTGTGGTTGGTCCAGGGCAGTGTTCACAGTAATTTCGCTGGATGGTGTGGTTGATCCTGGAGGGGTGGTCACAGTGATTCCACTGGAAGGTGGGGTTAATCTGGGGGGATGATCGTGGTGATTTCACTGGAAGTTACAGCTGGTTAAGAAAGGGTGGCTGGTTGGCTCCACTGGAAATTTGGTTTTGTTCACCACTACCGCTACTATGAGTAATACTAGTGATAATAATAGTGGCTGTCATTTAAGAATGCTCACTATATTCCAGGCACTGTGCTAAGTGCCACATATAAATTAGTACTAAAATCCTTACAATACCTCCTTGAGATAGAAACTAATATTACCCCCATTTTATAGATAGGTAAATTGAGGTTTAGAGAAGTTAAGCAGCTAGTTCCAGGTCAGACAGTTAGTAGGTAGTGGAACAACGATTTAAATCAAGGCAGTCTGACCCCAGAGCCAGCCCCTAAAGCCCTTAACCCATGCATTATTCCATATCCCAGGTATGGGGGAGTTACAAGACCAGGGTTTACAGGGGATGGTGTTATTCTTTTAACTATTCATGATACTCTCCGACTAAAGAACGTAAGAGAAAAGTTGAAGGCCCATCAAGCTCCTCTCCAAACAGTATTGTGCCCTTCCTCTAGGGGGCAGATAATCAAGCGGAATCGGTTTGGGAGGGGACCATGATGTGCATTTTTACTACATCGGGTAATTCTTCTGAACACAAAAGTTTGGGGCTGGGCGCAGTGGCTCACACCTGTAATCCCAGCACTTTGGGAGGCCAAGACAGGAGGATCACTTGAGGCCAGGAGTCTCGACCAGCCTGGACAACATGGAGAAACCCTGTCTCTACTACACATACAAAAAAATTAGACAAGCATGGTGGTGCACACCTGTAATCCCAGCTACTCGGGAGGTTGAGGCACGAGAATCGCTTGAGCCTGGAAGGTGGAGGTTGCAATGAGCTGAGAGCACGCCACTGCACTCCAGCCTGGGCGACGGAGCAAGACTCTGTCTCAAAAAAAAAAAATAGTTTGGGAGCCACTGGTTTAAGGGACCCCAGATGGTCTTGACACATGGACTAGTAAAGAATCAGTCATGTCAGCTTGAAGAAATAAGATCTTCTGGGATTCAGGAAAGTGGCTCAGCTTTCTTGTTGGATCAGTTAGAGTTAAGGTGAGACTGAGCTTCTTTCCCTGTCATGCCTATTTTCTACCCTGTTCTGATTTTCCATCCCATTAACAACCAAGCCCTTGACCTCCCAGATCCCTATAGACCCTCTCCTCATCGATGGCCCTGTTCTCTCCCTGGATGTAGGTGCTGCCCTTCACCCTCCACATATGTTCTTGCCTTGGTGTTGTCTGGACTAACATAAGGATTGCCAATTTAGATTTGAGGGAAGAATCCCAAAACTGTGTGTCGATGCCTTAGGTTAGGGTCAGAGCCAAGAGAGAAACTAAGTGAGAAGTTGAGATGAAAAGCTGGCCTGTGGAGAGGGAATAGACTGGTTTTGTGTTGGTCAGGGGCATAAAACACAAGAGTCAAAGCCATGCTGGGGCAGATTCTAGAGAGAATTAAATCTGCGTGAGTGTGGAACAGCAATGTCTCATGAAGTGTTTAATTAGAGGCTAGATGACTGCTGTCAGAGACGCTGGAAATAGATCCCTGCCTATTACGGGTGGTCAGACACTAATTCAAGTTCTCTTCCAACTCTAATGCGCCTATATCTGGGAATGATGTATTATAGAGTAAATAGGTCCATCTTCTGGGCAGAAGAGTTGCCACTGAGAACAGAACGGAGGACAGATGCTGGGTTGCATTGGAGAGAAAGAAGCAAAATAATCATCCCTCCTGCCTTGAAGAGAATGGGGGCAACAAGGACAGAGTGTGTGTCCCAGAAGTTGTCAACACTTTCCCCAAACTCTACTCAAACTCCAAGATTATTCTCTTTTAAACAAAATCACTCACCATTTCCTAAAAGTAGAAGGAAGTGAAACAGCCAGCATGCAAGGGAAAATTGCTTTCTCTTTCTTTTGAGATAGTCTGCCTGTGTGAGGCTGGAAGGGAAGGCTCCTCCCTTAGTCCCGATGGGATTAAGCCTTAGAAGGGAAAGGCAGAAAATGAGAATCTTGAGGGTGGAGTCTCAAGGTGGAGATCTGAGGGCTGGACTACTAGGAATTCGGAACTCCAAAGAATAGGTCCTCAATCTGAAGAGAAGCACCGCTAGGGGGACCTGGGCTGCAGGGGAAGCTGGATGTCTGGTCCTTGATGTTCCTTCACAGAATGCCACCTCTTCTTTTTCTCTTTCAAAGAAGGCCTTTAGGGCGGGTACAGTGGCTCATGCCTGTAATCCCAGAACTTTGGGAGGCCAAGATAGGCAGATTACGAGGTCAGTAGTTCGAGACCAGCCTGGCCAACATAGTGAAACGCCATCACTACTAAAAATACAAAAATTAGCTTGGTGTGGTGGCACATGCCTGTAGTCCCAGTTGCTTGGGAGGCTGAGGCGGGAGAATCGCTTGAGCCCAGGAGGCAGAGGTTGCAGTGAGCTGAGACCACGCCATTGCACTCCAGCCTGGGCAACAGAGTGAGACTCCATCTCAAAAAAAAAAAAAAAAAAAAAGGAAGAAGAAGAAGGCCTTTAAAGCATCATCTGGACTGGGCAAGGCCTGGACATGTAGGCTGTTGTTCTTCCAGCTGTGAGCAGTGGCAGAATCCCCAAGCTTAGAGAGGAGGGTACAGCAGCCAGAAGGTAGGTGAGGGTGGAGGATGACTTAGTCCCATTAGGAAGGGCCTGGGGAGGAGTGGGAAGTGGAATAGTTCAAGGGCCTGGGCAACAGAGCAAGACCCTGTCTCAAAAAAACAGAAAACAGGCCGGGCACGGTGGCTCGCGCCTGTAATCCCAGCACTTTGGGAGGCTGAGGCGGGTGGATCACAAGGTCAGGAGATCGAGACCATCCTGGCTAACACAGTGAAACCCTGTCTCTACGAAAAATACAAAACAATTAGCAGGGCGTGGTGGCGGGCGCCTGTAGTCCCAGCTACTCGGGAGGCTGAGGCAGGAGAATGGCGTGAACCTGGGAAGCGGAGCTTGTAGTGAGCCGAGATCGCGCCACTGCACTCCAGCCTGGGTGACAGAGCGAGACTCAGTCTCAAACAAACAAACAGACAAACAAACAAAACAGAAAACAAAAAAACTCTCATGGAGTCTAGCCCCAGGTTTTTTTCATGACCTGCGAATGAAGGAACTGGAAGCCAATTACCCCGTTCCCATATTTGTTTTCTGCCGCTCCTTCAGTTGTCTTTGGGCTCTCTCTGTTGGCCTCAGCCAGAGTTGAAGCAAGCTTGGACTGTAAGCTCTCAGTCCCCAGGCAAACTGACAGTGTCCAAAGTGTAGGTACTTCCTTGATCATCTGGCTTGTCTGGCACACAGCACTGATGAGAAGACCTAGCTGAAGCTCCCCGGTGGAAAAGCTTCTATAAATTCTTCAAAAACAAAAGGGGAGCGCCTCTATCAAGGAGGATTAGAAGCAGGAGCATTCCTCTTTCCAGTGCCATCACTCTCCTTAGGTCCCCTGCAGCGTGTGTGCTGGTAAATGTTTAACAACTCACTTCTCGTGGTGCAAATGCACCCGCCAGAGCTGACTGCGTGTGACCAGCGTGAATCACTGTGTATAGAATGGGAAGCAATGGGCGGCACACCACCTTTTCGAGTGGTTTTATAAACATCTACTTCTTGTACTAAATCCTTTTATGCTTGAAATATCCAAAGTGGTTTCTGTTTTCATAAGTGAACTCTGACTGTTACAGTATTTGGTATAACAAGAGGTTTCAGAAAATTGACGTTCAAAGGTGGCAATCTGGGATTGGTTCCCTGACCCATTAGGCTTGAGGGCAGGGGCGACCTCATGCTAGTATAAAATGAAGTCTTTGTATTACACAGCAAAAGATAGAAAAAGTGACTTAAGTTATCACCTGTGGTGGTGCCTGGAATAAAGCAATTGTTGAAGGGAAGGGCCGGGAGCCCAGGTGGTCGCTGTGACAGATCGTGAAGCTGGGAGTGTTGACTGCCGGGACTGTGGGTGGCTGCACTGGGAGATTACAGGAAAAAAATGACCCCTCTGCTGCATCCTCAGTCAAGGCATTGCCAGCGAACACAGAGCTTTCTCTGAATATTCTAAAAGACATGCTTATCTCTCAAAGCCACAGGGACTATGTATGAAAAAACCAGACCCACAGTTTGATTCTGCAGATTGGAGAATTATATTCAACTTGCATTTATATCTTTGCCAGTCTCGTGTGTGACATTTGGAATATTTGTTAACGGAAGCCCAGAATTGGAGTGGAGACACCTGGGTAGATTTTGATGAGTCTGAAAAACTTTGAACCTCCAAATCCCGCAGAGCTTTCCTTGCCAGCAGAAGTAGCCCCTCCTCCCCTCTGTGAGGAAGTCACTTTCTCTTGCCTGAAGACCCTATAGTGACGCCCTCACAGCACTCCCTTGGCAAGGGGACACAGATTTTCCTCAGGCCCTGTATTAGTTTCTTATTGCTGCGTGACAAATTACCACAAATTCAGGCTGAAGATAGCACAAATATATTATCTTGCAGTTCTGGAGATCGGAAGTTTAAAATAGGTTTTACTGGGCTAAAGTCAAGGTGTCAGCTGGTCTGTGGTCCTTCTGGAGGCTCTAGAGAAGAATCTGTTTACTCACCTTTTCCACCGCTAGAGGCTTCCAGCACTCCTTGGTTTGTGGCCCCTTCTTCCATCTTCAAAGCTTGCATCGCAGCATCTTCAAATCTCTCTGACTCTGACTCCTGTCTCCCTCTTTTTTTTTTTTTTTTTGAGATTGAGTCTTGCCCTGTTGCCCAGGCTAGAGTGCAGTGGTGCAATCTTGGCTCACTGCAACCTCCACCTCCTGGGTTCAAGCCATTCTCCTGCCTCAGCCCCCTGAGAGGCTGGGATTACAGGCACCCACCACTACACCCGGCTACATTTTGTATTTTTAGTAGAGACAGGGTTTCATCATCTTGACCAGGCTGGTCTCGAACTCCTGACCTCGTGATCTACCCTCCTCAGCCTCCCTAAGTGCTGAGATTACAGGTGTGAGTCACTGCGCCCGGCCTCTCATCTCCCTCTTATAAGGACCTTTGTGATCACATTGGGCCCATACAGATAATCCAGGATAATCTCCCCATTACAAGATCCTTAATGCGATCATGCATGCAGAGTCCCTTTTGCCATATAAAGTAACATATTTCCAGGTTCTGGGAATTGAAACGTGGATGTTTTTGAGGGGCTGTTATTCTGCCTACCACAGGCCCTATTACAATGCCCCTCGTGGCCTCCAGCTCCATGCGTTGAGTCAGATCTAGGGGCTGAAAACAACCATAGATGACAGTGAGCAAGGAAACAGGGGCCTCAACTCTAAACACAAGGAACTGGACTCTGCCACAACCACGTGAGCTTGAAAGAGATGCCAGCCTCCAGATGAGGATGCAGCTCAACTAACACCTTCATTTTAACCTGTGAGACTGAGCAAAGGAGTCAGTCATGCTGGCCCCAGACCCGCCTCATAGAACTGTGGTCTGATAAATGGGTGTTGGTTTAAGCTGCTGCATTTGTAGTAAGTTATCACTGATAGAAAACAAATACATGGGTGAACTTATCACATGTTCTAGATTCAAAACATTAGCTCAAGTAGGTGTGAGTTGCACTAATAGTTCTCTCGGTTGCTTGAAATGTGGACTTAGTGGTGGCCTACACTAAATAAAGTTGAGATCCCAGTATTTCATTAGTATAAGCGGAAGAAAAAAATCAAAAGACTTAGGAAGAGAGTTATTTTGGAATGGATTTAATATGTGCAACTTGCTCACTCACTCTTTCATTACGTCCTCCCAGAAGGTTCCATTGAAACTGTCTTCATCAAGGCATTAGAAGGGAGAGGACCAGCATCGTTGAAAAGCTCTGTAGCAGCTCTTTGCTAAATGCAATGGTGGATGATCTGACCATTGAAATGAGCTTCCTGATTTCAGTGGGCATGGTGGAATCTTCAGGAAACAGTAGGTAGGTGGTAGGGCTTTCCCTCCAGAGACAAGACAGGCATGATTATCGATGTGGGCATCACGACCAGAGCTGTAATCAGGGCTCTTTGGCTATGGCTAATTAATCATTAATCAATTAACCACTAAAATCTTACTTGATCTATATAAGTGAAAATATCCAGGTGGTTGAACAGAGAGCTGACTTGAGTTGCCACAGACTCTCACCTAATTCCCAGGCCCGAACCTGTTCACAGACCTAGAAATGAAGGGAAGGCAGCAAGATCCACCACCACCACCAGGATGTGCCGCGAATCTTCCTCCTAGCTTTCAAAAGGAATCTCAGCCATTTATCATCGTGACAGTGCAATGGGGAAATGAAAACACCCAAACCTTTAGGGTAACATACAAGACATCATTGCGATCTACAAGTCAGGGTGGAGCTTATGGGGCTTAGAACATAAATGACGTGGCCGGGCACAGTGGTTCATGCCGGCAATCCTAGCACTTTGTGGGGCCAAGGCAGGTGGATTACTTGAGGTCAGAAGTTTGAGACCAGCCTGACCAACAAGGTAAAAACCTGGCTCTACTAAAGATACGAAAATTAGCCAGGCATGGTGGCAGGCGCCTGTAGTTCCACCTACTCGAGAGGTTGAGACAGGAGAATCGCTTGAACCCGGGAGGCGGGAGGCGGAGGTTGCAGTGAGCCAAGATCGTGCCACTATTCCAGCCTGGGCGACAGAGCAAGACTCCATCTCAAAAAAAAAAGAACATAAATAACATCTTACTCAAAGTTCATCTCTAGGCTCCGTCTGCGCATATTTCCCCACTTTCAAGTGGGAACCAAAGCAAGGCCATAAGGCTGCTTGAGACATTGCTGACTAGATCCAATGTTGCCTAAAATGTCTGTGGTACATCAGAAAGCTGTGTGGAGACACTGGGTAGCTAGTAGAAGAGCCACGGCACAGGTCCCCAGAGTTTTGGAGCAAAAGCAAGCCCTCTTCCACATCCTAGCATCTGACTTAATCTTGGGTCCTCAGCATGCGAGGGTTCATGAAACATGAGCTGCCCTTTATGAACTGGGTGTTGTCTGCACCACCACACTAGACTGGGCATACTTAGCAGTGCTCACCTCCTTGAATGGAAGTGGTGCCTGTGAATTTGGCTGAGTTAGTTCCTCAAGGCACAAGTAAGAGGCATGAGTAGGCAGCTGTAACTCCAGTGGCATCTCCAGCTACATTCCTAACCTCTCTCTCCATAATCACAGTCACATGAAGGGTTTCCTATGTCTAGTTGACTGAGAAAGGAAAGATTTGGTTTCCTCTGGTGTGTGGGTGGTTCTGCATGCTATTCTAACACCACAGAGAGCAGGCTGCTGCAGCATTACCACCCCACTCACGGCAGCCCTGCAGGACAGTGGGGAAGGAAAATTCTCCCAGTGATCCGAATTGTAAAGAATGCATCTGCTTTGTTTACTTTGCCTGGGCAAAGAGATGACCAGTTACAGTTAACCCTGATCAATAGGCAGTGGCTAACAGTTTGGCTAGATAACTCAGGGTGAGGAAAGACATGGTGAATTGATGACAAGGAAGTCTGGGAAAGAGGAAGGTGGACGAGTCTCTTGGGAAGGGCACAGATGGTGAGAGTATGTGCATCCCATGTGACTGTTCACCAATGGGCGTTCACTACAGAGGAAATCTTCCATGATGAGGTTGACCAAGCGATCCATTCTGCAGACGTCAGCCAATCTCTTTTTCCAGCTGCTCTAGTGCTCGCTCAGCAGGGACATGGACAAAGCAGACAGGCTGGCAGGGATGAAGCGTATGCAAGGCTCAGTGAGCTGGCCTTCCCCTCACCAAGGCCAAGCTGGACAGATAATCCATGGCTGAGTGCCTCAACTGCTAACAGCAGAGATCAGTGTTGGCCCCGTTATGTGGCACCATTCTCCAGAGAGAATGGCAGATTAATTATATCAGACCTATTTCAACCTAAAGAGAGAGGTGATTTGTCCTCATTGAAAATAGCTGCTTGCCTCCCTTGCACACAATGCTTCCTGCAGCACCACTGTCTTTGGGCTTACCAAATGCCTCATTTATCGTCATGTGTCTCCAACCACATTCTCTGACCAAGGAAATCATAATATGCTGAGAAAATAGCCTCAGAATATCTTTTTCATTTTTCAAATTGAGACATAACTTACATACCATAAAGTGCACAGATCTCATGTGCACATTTTAATGAAGTTTTACATATCTATACACCCTTGTAATCACCACCCAGATCATACACAGAACATTCTCAGCTTCCCCTGTCTGCCCCTGCAAGAAGGCTTTCTCATGCCTTCTCCCGGTCAGCCTTTTCCCCCAAGGCATCCTCAACTCTGACCTTTATTACAACAGGTTAATGTCACATGGCCTTGAACTGCATGTGAATGGAATTATACAGTAGGTACACTTTTGTTTTGACTTCTTTTACTCAACACTGACTATGAGATTCATTAATGTTATTGTGTGATTTCATAGGTTTTTTTTTTCACTACTGGGTAGCATTCCACTGCATGAATATGTCACAATTTACTTACCTGTTCTAATGTTAGTGGACTTTGGGGTTAAATTTCCACCCTGCAGTGGTATGAATGAAGCTGGCATGGTACATGTCTTTTGGTGGACACAGGTATTCATTTCTGCTGGATATTTACTCTCAGGAGTGGAAGTACCGAGTCATAGGGTATGTGTTTAATTTTAGCATTGCCAAACATTTTCCCAAGATAATTGTATCAATTTACACTCCCACTAACAATGTGTGAGAGTTCCAGTTGTTCAATGTCCTTTCCAATACTTGGTACTGGCAGTCTTTCAAATGCTAGTCATTACAGTGTGTGTATGTAGTGGTATCTCATTGCGGTTTTACATTCCACTTCTGATAAGCAGTGATATTGGGTACCTTTTCAAATGTTCACCGGCTGTTTTGATATCCTCTTTTGCTAACTATTTATCAAATATTTTGCCCAATTTAAAATTGCATCATCTTTTTCTTATTGTAGCTCTTTCTGCATTCTGGATATGAGTCGTTTGTTAGCTATATGTGTTGCAATATCTTCTCCCATCTTTGACTTTCCTTTTATAGTTAAGAATATACCTCTTAAAGGTATATGCTGATACTAGGCTTTAATGAAGTCCAAATCATCACACTTTCTTTTAATAGCTAGTGCTTTTTGTGTCTTGCTTAAGTATCTAAGTATCTTTGCCTACCTCAAGGTCACCAAGATATTTTCTGAGGATTAAATGATGACCTTTTTTTTTTTTTTGAGACAGAGTCTTCCTCTGTCGCCCAGGCTGGAGTGCAGTGGCACAATCTCGCCTCACTGCAACCTCCACCTCCCAGATTCAACCGATTCTCCTGCCTCAGCATCCTGAGTAGCTGGGATTATAGGCACTCGCCACCACGCCTGGCTGATTTTTGTATTTATTTAGTAGAGACGGGGTTTCACCATGTTGGCCAGGCTGGTCTCGAACTCCTGACCTCAAGTGATCCACCCGCATTGGCCTCCCAAAGTGCTGGGATTACAGGCGTGAGCCACCACACCCAGCCAAATGATGACGTATTTAAAGGCTCCTGGGATAGTGATTGGTACATAATAAGCACTCAAAAAAAAAAAAAAAAAACAAAACCTGAAAGAACAAACAGGAAAACGAATACGTGTGTGGCCCTGATAATACATTCATTATGTGCTTTTGTTTCTTAGACATGTCTTGGTAATATTTATAGCACCATGAGGAAACACAGGGATGAGAAACGTTGACCCTGATGTGGCGGGAAATGGGAGAGAAGATGTCCTGAGGGTGGTTGTCGTGACTCCCCACAACAGAGGCTGAGACTCAGGAAAAACTCACAGAAGCTTTGACTTGAAGTCCCCTCCAAGCCAGTCAAAGTCTCTGAGGTCCTTTTGCTGGTTCTTTTCTTGACCTAGTCCATGTCCATCTCCATGGATCACATCCTGGGAAGCTTCCTATGCTCCATTTTAATTATTTCATGATCATTATTTTTTTCTCCTCCATGACCCCCTCCCACCCATAATATGTTTTGATACCCAATCTATGGCCACAGCCATCTTGTCCTGCCGTGGCCTCCTTGGTGGCTCCCTCTGTGATCCACTCCATGGTGTCCTCAGTGGCCTCCTCCATGTCCATAATGCCCGCCATGATTCACTCCGTAGCCATCTCCATGGATGTGGCTCAGTCCATGGCCCACTCCATATCCAAAGCCATGTGTTCCTCCATGTCCCATTTCAAGTTCTCCTCCATGAACCAGTGCATTTCCCAGGCTGTGGAATGTCCCAGAGCCCAGGCCCAAGTCCAGGTCCAGACCAAGGCTGTGGCTGTGGCCATGGGGGTAATAAATACCACAATATCTCAGGGGGAAGAAAAGGTCTCTCTAAAAGAAAAAAATAAATACATTGATAAATGAAAATTAAGTCTCCTCTCCCTAATCACCATACATGCCTGTTTCACCAATGTCAGATTTTCACTTTTCCAAACTGCCCATGTTCTCTTCTCTTTACCACCATCCTTACTATGATCTGTGTCTCTGTCTCTCTTTTTCCTTGTTCTTTTACTCTTTCTCCGTCTGACAAAATAAGCTTCCTTGTTACCTTATTAACATATCATCTTTATGTGCGTACTCAGGCCCTAGCTCTGCAGATCATAAGGTTATGTGTTTTTGGACTTCCAAGACAAAGGTAAATCCATACCCCTATGTGAAAGGCACAGAGACTCACTTTACAGACAGTCTTTCTCTTTGTTAGTCAGCTAAGAAAGCTCAGAACAGGTACGTGGAATTGAGAGCTCTAGAAAGCTGTCTACACAGAGCTTTGAGATTATAGGCATGAACTCCAGAATCCAACTAACCTGAGTTAGAGTCTTATATCTGCCACTCACTACATGTGCTGGGGCAAATAGCTAAGATCATGAAGCTCCAGATCCCTTACTTGTAAGATGAATATAATATGGCCACGGGATTGTAGGCCAGATTAAATAACATTATGCATTTTAAACATTCAGCCTTGAGCCTAGCAGGCAGTAAAAACTCAATGTTCACTTTCATTATTCTCTCTTGATCTTGCAAATGAAATAATAAAGTAATTTAGGGAGTAATTCTTAGATGCTGGTATTTATTATGTAGTCCACATACGGAGAGAGGCTGAGAATTCTAAAATAAAGAACCTCAGCAAATTGACTATATTATCCAAACCTTTTGTGACTTCCGTATTTTTCATTTTGTCCATTTTTACCAGTGGTATGCTGTCCAACACTTAATAACAGGCTCTCCGAGGGAAAAGTGCTGATTTGTAGTGTTTGACAATTACTGTGGTGTAAGAATTTCCAACACAGCATATTTTAAGCTACCAGTGTCACACCACTCAGCTCAGAATTGGGAAGAACTGCACAATCTCTTGTGGGCCAGGATGAGCCAGCTCCAGCACACCACTGATTTATACTCTGCTTCACTCCTCAAATGGTAACTTACCCGCAGGATCACAAGAAAACAGGAAGAACATCAATAAATGTGAAATCGATGTAAGAAAAATATGTATTCAAAGAACAATCAAGACCAGAGAGCAGAGATGGAGTGGGAGGTCAGAGAGTAACAGTCACAGGCCACACAAGGAATTGCTGTGAGGACCAGAAATTTGTCATACATGAGACAATCGGAAGCCCGCATTTTGGATGGCTGAACATTTTTATGCTTCTTTCTTTTCTCTATTTCTCTCTCTCTTTCTTTCCTTCTTTCTTTTTTCTTTCTCTTTCTCTCTCAGTTTCTTTCTTTCTTTCTTCCTTTCTCTTTCTTGCTTTCTTCCTTTCTTCCTCATTCTTTCTCTTTTTCTCTCTCTCTCTCCTTCCTTCCTTCCTACCTTTCTTTTCTTTCTTCCTTCCTTTCGAGACAGGATCTTGCTCTGTCACTCAGGCTGGAGTGCAGTGGCACGATCTCTGCTCACTGCAACCTCCATCTCCCAGGTTCAAGCAATTCTCGTGCCTCAGCCTCCAAAGTAGCTGGGACTACAGGTCCATGCTACCACTCTCGACTAATTTTTGTATTTTTAGTAAAGACAAGTTTCACCATGTTGGCCAGGCTGGTCTCAAATGCCTGGACTCAAGTGATCCGCCCTCCTTGGCCTTCCAAAGTGCTGGAATTACAGGGGTGAGCCACTGCGCCCAGCTGCTTCTTGCTTTCTTTATGTTTATGTCCTCCTTGTTCTCTCTCAGTATTTCCCTTGTTCTGTCAGTATTTCCCTTCACTTTGGCCCCAACTCCATCTTTTCCCTCCTCTTTTTCTACTTTGCTTCTCACTTTCTCTGACTTAAGCATTCTCTCTGGTCCTTATATCAGGCTAGGTGATTCTTTCCTTCTGAGCGCACCAACTTACTCCCCTTTCTCATTCTGGATTTTTCCAAAGCACTGCTGACATGATTCCCCCCTGCCTTCTTGCCAGGCTCCCCTATGAACCCACCCTGGGTACTCACCAGACAAAAACTCAGTCCTACTGACAATCCAACAGCAGCCACAACTGCAGCCAGGGAAATGAGGATGATAGCCCAGGGCTGTAAATATCCACTTGGTTTGATCACGTTTGTGGGTGTGTGGCTCATGCTAACTGTGTTTGTGCCCATGGACACCGGGCCT
This sequence comes from Homo sapiens, assembly GCF_000001405.40. NCBI lineage: Eukaryota > Metazoa > Chordata > Mammalia > Primates > Hominidae > Homo > Homo sapiens. Next base: position 2,376,564 of record NT_167247.2, on the reverse strand, counting down.
GTTTCCTGGAAGGTGCTGCTGGTTGGCTCACGGGTGGATCCTGTGGTGGTCCTGACGCCGTGGGCTGAGGTGGTAGATGATGCTCCCATAGTGGATGTACCCAGGCCAGAGGTGTTTAAGACTATTCCTGGCACAGTATGGCTGGCAGCAGAGGCCGTGAAGTCCATTCCAGGGGCCATGGTGACAGAGCTGGAGGCAGTGGGTCTGGTTCCAGTGGTTCTGGTGCCTATGAAACAGGTCACACAAGATGATGCATTTGTAGCAGAGATGATTAAAGGGGAATGGGGGTGCTTAGAGCAGAGGAGGGTGAATCTAACAAACCTATGGTGGAGGTGGCTCAGGAGAGGTGTGGTGGGGGAGGAGAGATGGTAGAAAGCGATTCTGCTGTGGCCATGTCCCCAGAATGCAGGTGGGTGTCATACAGAGAAGGAGGTAGAATGTGTCACCTGGTGGAGTTGGTGATGGAGGAGGCAGAAGTTTGAGGAAACGTTATCGCGATGGGTTCAGAAGTGGAAGATCTATTTGACTTCAGAAGTGGCCACCCAAATAGAAGAGGGTGGGCTGATAAAAAGGAATGAATTAACAGCATTGCAGTGACCTGGATGAGATTTTAGACTATTCTTCTAAGTGAAGTAACTCAGGAATGGAAAACCGAACATCGTATGTTCTCACTGATATGTGGGAGCTAAGCTATGGAAATACGAAGACATAAGAATGATGCAATGGACTTTGGGGACTTTGGGGGAAGAGTGGGAGGGGGCGAGGGATAAAAGACTTCAAATATGGTGCAGTGTATACTACTAGGGTGATGGGTGCACCAAAATCTCACAAATCACCACTAAAGAACTTATTCATATAACCAAATACCACCTGCATCCCAATAACTTATGGAAAAAATTGAAAATAAATAAATCAAAGCAGATCAAATAAGTGGGTGGGCTGGTATACAAAGCGGCAGGCCCTGCTTCTTTTGTGACTGTGATCACTGGGTGTAAGGAGGGAGCTGGAGGAGGAGATGGCAGAATTGGATTCACTCATGGGCATGCCAGTGGCCGTGGCTGGGACAGAGGTGACATCATCTACCACACTGTGGTGATCAGCAAAGGTGAGGTGAGTGTGCTTGGGCAGATGTGGGAGGACCTGACCCAAGTGGAGAAGGCTGCTCACAGGGATAGGAGAGGGTGGGCTCAGACAGGTGTGAGCACGAATCAACACAGCAGAGGCGGTGGTGGCGGCTTAGGTAGCGATGGGTGTGCCTAGGTCAGAAGTGGTTAAAATGGGATCACAAACAGCACCAGTCATGAGAATAGAAGTGAGTGTGCTTAGAACCAAGAGGATAGAATCAGATGTAACCGGCTTGCTGATGGCAAGTGCCAGAGAATGAACAAAATTGTTTGGTCTCAGACTGGAGCAAAGGTTGCCAAATTTTTTCTGTAAAGGTCCAAACAGCAAATACTTTAGGCTTTTGGGCCAGGCTGTCTCTGTTGCAAATACACGGAAAAGCAGAAAAGCAGCTGGAGACAAACCATAAATGAATGGGCATGACTATGTTCCAGTAAAACTTTACAAAACCAGGTAACAGGTGAGACTTGACCCATGAAATGTGGTCTGCCAGCCTCTGGTCTAGAGTCAATACATTGATAGGAGGTGGCAGTGTCACAGATGGTTGGTTGAATAGAGATAATCTACTTGGCACCGAAGTGGGAGCATTTCACAAAACTGTGATGGGCCAGTAGAGTTGAGGCGGGCTTGCTGGAGGAAGATGTGACAGATATGATGCACTTGTGGTTTACTATATTGTGGTTCTGATTGCAATGGAAGTGGTGGGCACTTAAAAAAAAAAAAGAGGTGAGACCAGAGTAGAGGCAATTAGGATTCCAGAAGAGGAAATTTTTTTTTTTTTTTTTTTGAGACGGAGTCTCGCTCTGTCGCCCAGGCTGGAATGCAATGGCGCGATCTCTGCTCACTGCAAGCTCCACCTCCCGGATTCACATCATTCTCCTGCCTCAGCCTTCCGAGTAGCTGGGACTACAGGTGCCCGCCACCACGCCCAGCTAATTTTTTGTATTTTTAGTAGAGACTGGATTTCACCGTGTTAGCCAGGATGGTCTCAATCTCCTGATCTCGTGATTCGCTCGCCTCAGCCTTCCAATGTGCTGGGATTACAGGCATGAGCCACCGCGCCCAGCCTAGAAGAGGAAATTATATCTAACTGTGTGCTGGCTTGACTTGAACCAGGGCAGAGATGATAGAAACAGGTGAACAGCTGGTGGTTGCCACTGGAGTTAAAATGTGTGGGCTCAAAGAAGACATGGGGGTTAGTACCTGACATAGGTGTGTTGGTGATGGGCTGGATAGAAACGTCAGTGGCCTTGGTGAGTACAAACGTGGTGGAAGAGACAGTGGTGGAGGCTGCAGTGGCCCCAGAAGCTGTGATAGAGACTGTGGTGGTCTCAGAGCCTGTGAGGGAAGTTGCAGTGGGCTCCAAGCTTGCAGTGGAAGCTATGGTGGTCTCAGAGCCTATGATGAAGGCAGTGTTGGTCTCAGAGCCTGCACTGGAGGGTGTGGAGGTCTCAGAACCTGTGGTACAGGCTGTGTTGGTCTCAGAGCCTGAAGTGGAGGCTGTGGTGGTCTCAGAGCCTGCAGTGGAGGCTGTGGTGGTCTCAGAGCCTGCAGTGGAGGCTGTGGTGGTCTCAGAGCCTTCAGTAGAGGTGGTGGTGGCCTCAGAGCCTGCAGCAGAGGATGTGGTGGCCTCAGAGCCTATGGTAGAGACTGTGGTGGTCTCAGAGACTGTGGTAAAGACTGTAGTCATCTCAGAGCCTGTGGTAGAGGCTGTGGTGGTCTCAGAGCTAGTGGTAGAAACTGTAGTGGCCTCAGAGCCTTCAGTAGAGGCGGTGGTAGTCTTAGAGCCTGTGATATAGACTGTTGTGGTCTCAGAGCCTGCGGTAGAGGCTGTGGTGGTCCCAGAGCCTGAGGTGGAGACTGTGGTGGTCTCCAAATCTGCGGTAGAGGCTGTGGTGGTCTCAGAGCCCGTGGTAGAGACTGTGGTTGTCTCAGAGCCTTCAGTAGAGGTGGTGGTAGTCTCAGAGCCTGTGGTATAGACTGCTGTGGTCTCAGAACCTGCAGTAGTGACTGTAGTGGTCTCTGAACCTTCAGTAGAGGTGATGGTAGTCTCAGTGCCTGTGGTAGAGACTGTGGTGGTCTCAGAGCCTGTGGAGGAGACTGTAGTGGTCTCAGAGCCTTCAATAGAGGCTGTGGTGGTCTCAGAGCCTGCAGTAGAGACTGTGGTGGTCTCTGAGCCTGCAGTAGAGGCCGTGGTGGTCTCAGAGCCCATAGTAGTGACTGTAGTGGTCTCAGAGCCTTCAGCAGAGACTGTGATGGTCTCAGAGCCTGTGGTAGAAACTGTAGTGAGCTCAGAGCCTTCAGTAGAGGCTGTGGTGGTCTCAGAGCCTTCAGTAGAGGCTGTGGTGGTCTCAGAGCCTGTGGTAGAAACTGTAGTGATCTCAGAGCCTTCAGTAGAGGCTGTGGTGGTCTCAGAGCCTTCAGTAGAGGTGGTGGTAGTCTCAGAGCCTTCAGTAGAGGCTGTGGTGGTCTCAGAGCCTATGGTAGTGGCTGTAGTGGTCTCAGAGCTTTCAGTAGAGGCTGTGGTGGTCTCAGAGCCTTCAGTAGAGGCTGTAGTGGTCTCAGAGCCTTCAGTAGAGGTGGTGGTGGTGGTCTCAGAGCCTGCTGTAGAGGCTGGGATGGTCTCAGAGCCTGCAGTGGAGACTGTGGTGGTCTCAGAGGCTGTGGTAGAGGCTATGGTGGTCTCAGAGTTTTCAGTGAAGACTGTGGTCATTTTAGAGCTTGCAGTGGAGACCTTGGTGGTCTCAGAGCCTATGGTAGAGGCCATAGTGGTCTCAGAGCCCATGATGGATGCCATGGTGGTCTCAGAGCTTGTAGTAGAGGCTGTGGTGGTCTCAGAGCCTGTAGTAGAGGCTGAGGTGGTCTCGGAGCCTTCAGTAGAGGCTGTGGTGGTCTCGGAGCCTTCAGTAGAGGCTGTGGTGGTCTCAGAGCCTGTGATGGAGGCTGTAGTAATCTCAGAGCCTTCAGTAGAAGTGGTGGTGGTCTCTGAACCTGTGGTAGAAACTTTAGTGGTCTCAGAGCCTGTGATGGAGACTGTAGTGGTCCCAGAGCCTTCAGTAGAGACTGTGGTCTCAGAGCCTGTGGCAGATACTGTAGTGGTCTCAGAGCCTTCAGTAGAGGTGATGGTCCTCTCAGAGCCTGTGGTAGAGACCATGGTGGTCTCAGAGTCTGTGGTGGAGACTGTAGTGGTCTCAGAGCCTTCAGTAGAGGCTGTGGTGGTCTCAGAGCTTGTAGTAGAGGCTGTGGTGGTCTCAGAGCCTGTAGTAGAGGCTGAGGTGGTCTCAGAATCTGCAGTAGATGCTGTGGTGTTCTCAGAATCTGCAGTAGAGACTGTGGTGGTCTCAGAGCCTGCAGTGGAGGCTGCAGTGGTCCCAGAGCCTTCAGTAGAGTCTGTGGTGGTCTCAGCACCTGTGGTGGAGACTGTAGTCATCTCAGAGCCTTCAGTGGAAGTGGTGGTGGTCTCCAAGCCTGTGGTGGAAACTGTAGTGGTCTCAGAGCCTGTGGTGGAGACTGTAGTGTTCTCAGAGCCTTCAGTAGAGACTGTGGTCATCTCAGAGCCTGTGGCAGAGACTGCAGTGGTCTCAGAGCCTTCAGTAGAGGCTGTGGTGGTGTCAGAGCCTATGGTAAAGACTGTGGTGGTCTCCAAGCCTGTATTAGAGGCTGTGGTGGTCTCAGAGCCTGTAGTATAGGCTGTTTTGGTCTCAGAGCCTGCGGTAGTGACTGTAGTGGTCTCAGAACCTTCAGTAGAAGCTGTGGTGGTCTCAGAGTCTGAAGTAGAGGCTATTGTGATCTCAGAGCCTTCAGTAGAGGCTGTAGTGGTCTCAAAGACTGTGGTGGAGACTGCAGTCATCTCAGAGCCTTCAGTACAGGTGGTGGTGGTCTCTGAGTCTGTGATAGAAACTGTAGTGGTCTCAGAGCCTGTGGTGGAGACTGTAGTGGCCTCAGAGCCTTCAGTGGAAGCTGTGGTGGTCTCAGAGCCTTCAGTAGAGGCTGTGGTGGTCTCAGAGCCTGTGGTAGAATCTGTGCTGGTCTCAGAGCCCATGATGGAGGCTGTGGTGGTCTCAGAGCCTGTGGTAGAGACTGTGGTGGTCTCAGAGCCTACGGTAGAGGCTCTGATTGTCTCAGAGCCTGCAGCAAAGACTGTGGTCACCTCAGAGCTTGCAGTGGAGACCTTGGTGGTCTCAGGGCCTATGGTAGAGGCCATAGTGGTCTCAGAGCCCATGGTGGATGCCATGGTAGGCTCAGAGCCTGTAGTAGAGGCTGCGGTTGTCTCAAACCCTGTAGTAGAGGCTGTGGTAGTCTTAGAATCTTCAGTAAATGCGGTGTTGGTTTCAGAATCTTCAGTAGAGGCTGCAGTGGTCTCAGAGCCTGCAGTGGAGACTGTGGTCTCAGAGCCTGCAGTTGAGACTTTGGTGGTCTCAGAGCCCATGGTGGAGGCTGCAGTCGTCTCAGAATGTGCAGTAGAGGCTGTTGTGGTCTCAGAGCCTGTGGTGGAGACTGTAGTGGTCTCAGAGCCTGCAGTAGAGACTGTGGTGGTCTCTGAGCCTGCAGTAGAGGGTGTGATGGTTTCCGAGCCTGCAGTGAAGACTGTGGTCATCTCAGAGCCTGTGGTAGAGGCTGCAGTGGTCTCAGAATCTGCAGTATAGGCTGTGGTGGTCTCAGAGCCCACGGTGGAGACTGTGGTGGTCTCAGAGCCTGCAGTAGAGGTGACGGTGGTCTCAGAGCTTGTAGTAGAGTTTGTGGTGGTCTCTGAGCCCATGGCAGAGACCATGGTGGTCTCAGTGCCTGTGATAGAGACTGTAGTGGTCTCAGAGCCTGCAGTGGAGACGGTGGTCTCAGAGCCTGCCATAGAAGCTGTGGTGGTCCCAGAGCCTGCACTAGAGACTGTGGTGTTCTCGGATCCTGCCGTAGAGGTGGTGGTGATCTCAGAACCTGAAATAGAGACTATGGTGGTCTGAGAGCCTGTGGGGGAGGGGGTGGTGGTCTCAGAACCTGCTGTAGAGGCTGTGGTGGTCTCAGAGGCTTTAATCAGGATTGTAGTGGTCTCAGAGCCTGTGGTAGAGGCTGTGGTGGTGTTAGAGCCTGCAGCGGGGGCCACAGTGGTCTCAGAGCTCATGCTGGACGCCGTGATCACCTTGGAGTCTGCAGTTGAGGTTGTGGTGGCCTCAGAGCCTGCCATGGAGGTGGAGGTAGTGGTGGTCTCAGAACCTGCAGTAGATGCTGTGGTGGTTTCAGAGCCTGTGGTAGAGACTTTAGTGGCCTCAGAGCTTGCAGTGGAGGTGGTGGTGGTCTCAGAGCCTGTGGTAGAGACTGTGGCAGTCTCAGAGCCTGTGGTGGAGGCCATGGTGGTCTCAGAAATTATGGAGGAGGCCATCGTTTTCTCAGAGCCTGCAGTGGAGGTTGTGCTGGAGGCCATGGTAGTCTCAGGGACTGTAGTGGAGGCTATAGTAAAGGTTGTTGTGGTCCCAGAGACTGTGGTGGAGGCCACGACAGTTTCAGAGCCTGCAGTGGAGCCTGTGGTTGTGTCAGAGCCTGTGGTGAAGGTCCCAGTGGAGGCTATAGTAGTCCCTGAGTCTGTGGTAGAGGCCGTGTTGGTCTCAGAGCCTGTGGTGAAGGCTGCAGTAGAAGCCATGGTGGAGGCTGAGGTTGTCTCAGAGCCTGTGGTAGAGTCTGTGGTGATCTTAGAGCCTGTAGTTAAGGCCGTAGTAGAGGCCATGGTGGAGGCCATGGTGGTCTCAGAGCCTGTGATGGAGGCTGTGGTGGTGTCGGAGCCTTTTGTGAAGGCTGTGGTATTCTCAGAGCCTGAGGTGGAGAACAAATAAGGTGGTGGGAATGGGTTAAAGATGAATTTGCAGGTTTAGTATAGTGTTACTTTCACATATACTCAGTACTTCTTATTCATTTATTTATTCAGTTATTGAGGGCTTAACATGTACCTGGTATTTTACTAAACTCTGGGCATACTCCTGTCAGCAAAAGGGATATGGGCTTATAATTTAGTAAAGAAGAGAGCTACAACATAAAATATAAATACACATTGGCTTAAGTGCTGTTAAAGAAAGCAGTGGTGCTGCTTTAGATACTGGAGTCAGAAAAGGTCTCTCTGAGGAACTGACATATGAACTGAGATCTGAAGGATAAGAAGGCAGCCATTTGGGCTGGGCGCAGTGGCTCAAGCCTGTAATCCCAGGCGGATCACCTGAGGCCGGGAGTTCAAGACCAGCCTGACCAATATGGAGAAACCCCATCTCTACTAAAAATACAAAATTAGCCAGGCATGGTGGCGCATGCCTATAATCCCAGCTATTCAGGAGGCTGAGGCAGGAGAATCACTTGAACCGGAAGGCGGAGGTTGCAGTGAGCCAAGATTGCACCACTGCACTCCAGCCTGGCCAACAAGGGCAAAACTCCATCTTAAAAAAAAAAAAAAAAAAGAAGGCAGCAATTTGAAAGGCCAGGAGAAGGACATCACAGATTGATAGCATAAGTACAAATACCCTGAGTTGTTAATGAGCTCGATGTGATTCATGAATAAATAGGAGACCAGGGTGGCTGGAATGTAGTTACTGAAGGAGAAAACGAGGCGGTAGAGAGACCTTTTCTAACCATAATCTCTGAAGCAGGACCCCTGCCTTTTTAACAACACATAACCCAAAGGTGTATTTACATTCTTTATATTCTAAACTCTTCTTTACAAGAACATAAGCCCACATTTCTTTTGCTGACAGGGGTATACTCAGAGTTTAGCAAAATACCATGGTAGAAAGGTTAAATTTCATCTCAAATACAATGAAGACCCACTGGAATAACATACTCTGGTTAATTTCTCTTTGTTTTTATTTTGAAAAAAAAAATCACAAATTCTTTTGTAACAAGTATAACACAAAGAACCCTTTTCCCTGAATCTGTCTCATTATCCTTCAATACTTTATATATTCTCATACGCAACCATAATACAGCCATCAAGATAAAGAAATTCACATGAATATATTGCTGCCACCTGATCCTTAGATCCCTTTCAAGTTTTGTTAGTTGTTCTAATAATGTCTTTAATAGTAAACCAGTTCAATTCAGAATCGTGTGTTGTTTTTCGTTGTTCTGTCTCTTTAGTCTTCTTCAGTCTGGTGCAGTTCTTCAGTCTTCCTTTGATCTTCATAACTTTTAACCTTTGAAGATTACAGGTCAATTATTTTATAGAATTTTCCTTAAACTGAGTTTTTGTAATGTTTCATCATGATTAGGCTCATGTTATTAATCTTTGCCAGGAAAACCACTGAAGTGATGCTGTATTCTTCTCTTTGCATACTATCAGGTGACAGATAATATCAATGTGTCCCATCATTGATGATGTTCTCTTGGATTACTTGATTAAGAAGGTGTATCCAGGCTGGTTTTTCTCCCTTTGTAGTTAGTAAATATTGTGTTGTGATTATAATTATGAAATGTCTCTCTTTATCCCTAATAATATACCTCTTCTTAAGCCTATTTTGTCTGATTTTGAAATAGTCACTCAATTTTTTTCTAAATTGATGTTAGCATGGCTAACATACAGTATGGCCGTATCTTTCTTCCTCTTATTTTTATCCTATTGTTTACCCTATTTGTAGTTATAGTTAGTTAAAATGTATTTCTTGGTTGAATATTATTTATTTGGGGCTTTCTTTTTTAACCAATGTGTCAATCTCTGCCTTTTAATTGTGGTGTCTGGACCATATACATTTAATGTAATTATAAATACGTTGGGTCTGATTCTTTTTTAGAGACAGAGTCTTGCTCTGTCACTCAGGCTATAATGCAGTGGCACAATCACGGCTGACTGCAGCCTTGACTTTCTAAGCTCAAGAAATCCTCCTGCCTCAGCCTCCGAACTATCTAGGATCACAGGCACGAGTCATGATGCCTGGCTAATTACTTTTTAATTTTTATTTCTTGTAAAGATGGGGTCTCCCTATGTTGCCTGGGCTTGTCTCGAACTCCTGGGCTCAAGTAATCTTCCTGCCTCAGCCCCAAAAAGTGCTGGAATTACAAGTGTGAACCACTGTAGCTGGCCCTGAATTTAATAGTCTTCATATTTGTTTTCTATTTTTCTCGTCTGATCTTCTTACCTTTTCCTCCATTTTTCACCTTTTTTTTTTTTAATTAACCCAGTATTTTGTTTTTTGTTTTGTTTTGTTTTTTGAGCGTCTTGATCTGTCACTCAGGCTGGAGTGCAGTGATGGGATCTCAGCTCACTGCCAATTCCACTTCCCAGGTTCAAGTGATTCTCCTGCCTCGGCCTCCTGAGTAGCTGGAACCACAGGCATGCGCCACCACGCCCAGCTAATTTTTGTATTTTTAGTAGAGACAGGGTTTCACCACGTTGCCCAGGCTGGTCTCTAACTCCTGGCCTCAAGTGATCCACCTGCCTCAGCCTCCCAAAGGGCTAGGATTACAGGCATAAACCGCTGCACCATGACCTGAGTCATTTTTGACCCCATTTTATTTCCACCATTAGCTTATTAAATATCATTCTTATTTGTGTGCCTTTGCTCTAGGATTTACGATATACACCTTTATCACTGTCTACCTCCCAGTGAGCTCATTCCTCTTCCTGTAAAGGCATGAGAGTCTCAACACAGTACACTTCCATTTCCTTTTTCTATCCCTTGTACCACTGTTGTCATACATTTTATGTCTACATATAAGCCTCATAATTCATTATTACTCAAGTATATTATCTTTTAAAATTTAAATGAAAAAAATTTTATTTTTACCCATATATTTATCATTTCCAGCACACTTCATTCTTTTTTGCATAGATCTAAATTTTTTCTTCCTGAAGAACTTTTACATTTAAAAAAAAATGTCAGTCTTGCCTGTCGATTCACGCCTGTAATCCCAGCATTTTGGGAAGCAGAGGCAGGCAGATCACCAGGAGTTCGATACCAGCCTAACCAAAATTGAGAACCCCCATCTGTACTAAAAATACAAAATTAGCCAGGCATGGTGTGGCTAATTACATGCCTGTAATCCCAGCTACTCGAGAGGCTGAGGCAGGAAAATCGCTTGAACCCAGTGTGTCTGGAATTGGTGGGTTCTTGGTCTCACTGACTTCAAGAATGAAGCCACAGACCCTCACAGTGAGTGTTACAGCTCTTAAGGTGGCATGTCTGGAGTTTGCTCCTTCTGATGTTCAGATGTGTTCGGAGTTTCTTCCTTCTGGTGGGTTTGTGCTCTCGCTGGCTCATGAGTGAAGCTGCAAACCTTCACAGTGAGTGTTAGCAACTCTTAAGCCCATGCGTGTGGAATTGTTCCTTCCTCTCAGTGGGCTCGTGGGCTCGCTGGCTTCAGGAGAGAAGCTGCAGACCTTTACGGTGAGTGTTACAGATCATAAAAACAGTGTAGACCCAAAAAGTGAGCAGTAGCAAAATCTATTGCAAAGAGCAAAAGAACAAAGTTTCCACAGTGTGGAAAACGACCCAAGCAGGTTGCCACTGCTGGCTCGGGCAGCCTGCTTTTATTCTCTTATCTGGCCCCACCCACATCCTGCTGATTGGTAGAGCCGAGTGGTCTGTTTTGACAGGGTGCTGATTGGTGCGTTTACAATCCCTGAGCTACATACAAAGGTTCTCCACGTCCCCATCAGATTAGTTAGATACAGAATATGGACACAGAGGTCCTCCAAGGCCCCTCCAGAGCAGCTAGATACAGAGTGTCGATTGGTGCACTCACAAACTTTGAGCTAAACACAGGGTGCTGATTGGTGTGTTTACAAACCTTGAGCTAGATACAGAGTGCCGATTGGTGTATTTACAATCCCTGAGCTAGACATAAAGGTTCTCCAAGGCCCCACGAGAGCAGCTAGATACAGAGTGTTGATTGGTGCACTCACAAACCCTGAGCTAGACACAGGGTGCTGATTGGTGTGTTTACAAACCTTGAGCTAGATACAGAGTGCCGATTGGTGTATTTACAATCCCTGAGCTAGACATAAAGGTTCTCCAAGGCCCTACCAGAGCAGCTAGATACAGAGTGTCCATTGGTGTACTCACAAATCCTGAGCTACACACAGGGTGCTGATTGGTGTATTTACAATCCCTAAGCTAGACATAAAGACTCTCCACGTCCTCACCAGACTCAGGAGCCCAGCTGGCTTCACCCAGTGGATCCCGCCCCGGGGCCGCAGGTGGAGCTGCCTGCCAGTCCTACGCCATGCGCTCACAGTCCTCAGCCCGTGGGCGGTCGGTGGGACTGGGCGCCCTGGAGCAGGGGGCGGCGCTCATCGGGGAGGCTCCGGCCGCACAGAAGCCCATGGAGGGGGTGGGAGGCTCAGGCATGGCGGGCTGCAGGTCCCCAGCCCTGCCCCATGGGAAGACAGCTAAGGCCCAGTGAGAAATCCAGTGCAGCGCCAGTGGGCCGGCACTGCTGGGGGACCTAGTACACCCTCCGCAGCCACTGGCCCGGGTGCTAAGCCCCTCACTGCCCGGGGCCTGCAGGGCCCGCTGGCTGCTTCGAGTGCGGGGCCGCCAAGCCCACGCCTACCTGGAACTGCAGCTGGCCCGCAAGCGCCGCGCACAGTCCCGGTTCCCGCTCGCACCTCTCCCTCCACACCTCCCTGCAAGCTGAGGGAGCCGGCTCTGGCCTCGGCCAGCCCAGAAAGGGACTCCCACAGTGCAGCGGTGGGCTGAAGGGCTCCTCAAGTGCCGCCAAAGTGGGAGCCCAGGCAGAGGAGGTGCTGAGAGCAAGCGAGGGCTCTGAGGACTGCCAGCACGCTGTCACCTCTCACCGGGAGGCAGAGGTTGCAGTGAGCCAAGATCGTGCCATTACGCTCCAGCCTGGGGCAACAAGAGCGAAACTCCGTATCAAAAAAAAAAAAAAAAAAAGTCAATTTCCAGGAGGCAAGGTCTTCCAGTTTTTGCTTGTCTAGAAAAGCCTTCATTTCATCTTCATATTGAAAATATTCTTACTCCGTGTAATTCTAGGTTGATAAAGTATTTTTTTCTTTCAGTATTTTAATGATGTTGCTTCTTTATCTTCTGGTTGTCATGGTTTTTCACAGGAAGTCTGTTATGCTTGTCTTTGCTCCTCTCTATACAATGTGTCTTTTCTAGCTCGTTCTAGGATTTCCCTTTTATCACTGATTTTTAGTTATTTGATTACGTTGTACTTTGGTATGATTTTTTAAAGTTTATTTTGCTTGATATTTGTTGAGTTCTTGGGATCTGTGAGTTTATAGTTTTCATCAAATTTAATTTTTTCAGCTACTATTTCTTTAAACATGTTTTCGGTTCCCTTTTTTTCTGGAACTTCAATAATACATATTGCAGACAAAACATTGTCTCACAAAATCACTGGTATTCTATTCATTCATTTTCAGCCCATACTCCCTCCACCCCATACTCCCTCTCACCCTCACAAGATTCTGACAAAACATGCCAGGCTGCCACTCTGTGGAGAAGTCCACTTCATCCAATTTAGTTTCTTGCTCTGTCACCCAGGCTGGAGTGCAGTGGTGCTATCTCGGCTCATTGCAACTTCCACCTCCCGGGTTCAAGGGATTCTCCTGCCTCAGCCTCCTGAGTAGCTGGAAATACAGACATGCGCTACCACACCCAGCTAATTTTTGTATTTCTAGTAGAAACAGAGTTTTGCCATGTTGGCCAGGCTGCCCTCGAACTCCTGACCTCAGGTGATCTGCCCACCTCAGCCTCCCAAAGTGCTAGGATTACAGGCGTGAGCCACCGCACCCGGCCCAGTTCAGTTTCTTATATCCTTCTCTGGGCCACTGCTGTCTCCCCTCCTGTCCAACCCTGATATCTGCTTTGCTCTGCCTCACCTAATGATCTGGGGCTTAATCATTCAGGAAGGGAAGAGAAAGTAGAAAACAAAATTGATTTATGTTTTTAAAAGATGCTGTGTGAAAACGGGCATGTAGGAGGGCAAGAGTGAAAAAATTAAGAGCAGTAATTATTGCTTGAACTAGGATGGTAGCAGGGGAGATACCTTTCAGTGGATGAATACAAGCTATGTTTTGAAATTAGAAAAGTAGAACCAATAGGAAGTGTTGAAAGGCTGCATGTGGTGGATGACACGAAAAGAAGTCAAGAACAACTTCTAGCTTTGGGGCTTACGCAGAGTTGGAAATTAGTTCTATTTATCTGAATGAATAGGGATGAAGTGGAAGTTGGAAATATTAGACTTTGAACTTTTTGTGCCCATTAGATATCCAGGAGACTGTTGGCAGTTGGAAACCTGCACTTAGTTCTTAGAGGAGAAATCAGATCAAAAGACGTGAAACTGGAAGTCATTTAAATATACATTGTATTTAAAGCCATGAAGCTGACTGAGATCGCTTGTCTGGGAGAGTATGTTGGAGAATAGGGCGCTGGACCAAGCTCTGGCCACTGCATCACTCAGATAGAGGAGGAGACGCAAATGAATGAGACTGAGAAGGAGCATCCACTAAGGCAGAAAGAAAACTCTAAAAAGTGAATCAAGGAAGTCAAGAGAATAGAGAGGCTCTAGAAAAATATGGCAGTTAACTGAATTGATTTTTGCAGAGAGATCAAGTAAGATATGGCCTGGGCCATGTCCATTGGATTCAGAGACAATATGGAAGTGAGTTTAGTTTATTGAAAACAGATTTGCATGATGGGGTAGACCCCAATTGGAATGAATAAAAGAATAAGTATATATGGAGGCTTACGGATTTCATAGAAGAATAAAAAGTAGAGAAATAACAAAACACATACCTCCACAAGGACAAACGATGGAGAGATAACAGCAGAGGAGATATTTTTGTTTTTTTGAAGGTAATAGGCAGATGAGTGGTAACTCTCCAACACAACAGAGAAAGCTTCAACATACAGGCCTCCATTGGGGGTGAGAGTAAGTCAACTACTGGTAGATTATTAATTCTGTGGAATCCTGGAAAGATTCGGGAATTGCAACTGGGTTCCTCTAAAGATTTGGGTGTGGCATGTGACTAAATACAGGAAGGATAGTTGAAATACAATGTAGCTAGGAACTGTCTCTCAGCTCCAGATCACTCCTTCCACTCAAGCACTTGGATGAATACACCTCTCTTCCTTTTAACAGCTTAGGGTTTTATCTCTGGAGATACTGAAACCAAAGAAACTCTAGATCAGTAATCCCAGGCACTGCTGAAGGCAGGAGTGAAAGTGTATCCAGAATTGGTGGGTTCTTGGTCTGACTTCAACAATGAAGCCGTGGACTCTCGCCGTGAGTGTCACAGTTCTTACAAGTGGTGTGTCCTGAGTTTGTTCCTTCTGATGTTCAGATGTGTTCGGCGTTTCTTCTGGTGGGTTCGTGATCTCACTGGCCTCAGGAGTGAAACTGCAGATTTTCGCAGTGAGTGTTACAACTCATAAACGCAGTGTGGACTCAAAGAGTGAGCAGCAGCAATATTTATCACAAAGAGTGAAAGAACAAAGTTTCCACACTATAGAAGAGTACCCAAGCGGATTGCCACTGCTGGCTCAGGGCAGCCTGCTTTTATTCCCTTATCTGGTGGCACCCACATCCTACTGATTGGTCCATTTTACAGAGCGCCGATTGGTTTTACAGAGAGCTGATTGGTCTGTTTTGACAAGGTGCTGATTGGTGTGTTTACAATCCCTGAGCTAGACACAAAAGTTCTCCAAGTCCCCACAGAGCACTGATTGGTGCATTTACAAACCTTGAGCTATACACAGGGTGCTGATTGGTATGTTTACAAACCTTGAGCGAGACACAGGGTGCTGATTGGTGTATTTACAATCCCTTAGCTAGACATAAAGATTCTCCAAGTCCCCACCAGATTAGCTAGACACAGGGTGCTTACTGGTGTGTTTACAAACCTTGAGCTAGACACAGAGTGCTGATTGGTGTATTTACAATCCCTTAGCTAGACATAAAGATTCTCCGAGTCCCCACCAGATTAGCTAGACACAGGGTGCTGATTGGTGCATTTGCAAACCTTGAGCTAGACACAGAGTGCTGATTGGTGTATTTACAATCCCTTAGCTAGACATAAAGGTTCTCCAAGTCCCCACTACACTCAGGAGCCCAGCTGGCCTCACCTAGTGGATCCCGCACCTGGGCCGCAGATGGAGCTGCCCGTCAGTCCCACGCCGTGCGCCAGTACTCCTCAGCCCTTGGGCAGTCTATGGGACCGGGTGCCGCAAAGCAAGGGGCAGCGCTCGTCTGGGAGGTTCTGGCTGCACAGGAGCCCATGGCGGCGTGGGGGAGGCTCAGGCATGGCGGGCTGCAGGTCCCAAGCCGTGCCCCTCAGGGAGGCAGCTGAGGTCCGGCGAGAATTGGAGCGCAGCACCCGCTGGCACTGCTGGGGAACCTGGCGCACCCTCCGCAGCTGCTGGCCCGGGTGCTAAGTTCCTCACTGCCTGGGGCCAGCTGTGCTGGCCACGCCAGCCCGAGGCTCAGAGTGTGGGGCCCCCCGAGGCCACGCCCACCTGGAACTAGTGCTGGCCCGCAAGTGCCGCAGGCAGCCCGGGTTCCCGCCCGTGCCTCTCCCTCCACACCTCCCTGAAAGCTGAGGGAGCTGGCTCCGGCCTCGGCCAGCCCAGAGAGGGTCTCCCACAGTGCAGCGGGGGGCTGAAGGGCCCCTCAAGCGCAGCCAGAATGGGTGGCGAGGCCGAGGAGGCTCCGAGACTGAGCGAGGGCTGCCAGCACCCTGTCACCTCTCAAAAGGTTTTACTGAAACTATGCAATTAAGGAAATGCTTACACCCTGAAATGTAAAACCCACATTACCTATTCCCTTGCTCAGCTTCCAGCACTTCAGCAGCTATGCTAGTATGCTCTAGACAGGATCTGGAGAATTCTTCTTGTGGAAAGAAATTAGCCAACACTAGATACTGACATTTTGAGGATCTTCCCAATCTAAACTGCCACGTCTCTGCTAAATTACCCTAAAGCTAAGTCCACCAGTTGACAGGCCCTACCCCTGCTCACAGAGCTTCCAGGCATCATATTAGTGCCTCACTCAAATGCAAAGGACATTCTGGGATTACCAGATATTTGAGAAAAATCTCTAGCTTGAAATATAGAGACCAAAACAAATATCCCTATGAAGCAAAGCCAGAGAGAACTGAGACAATGCAAACAGCAAAACCAACTTCAAATGTCCTCAGCAATATAAGAGAAAGTATAGCACCCACAAAAAAAAAAAAAAGTAAGAGATGCCATCTTAAAAATGGTTGTAGAGAAAAAAAAGATCTCTTTGAAAAAAAAAAACCTCAAAATTCACTAGAAGGATTTGAAGACTTTAGAAGCTGAGGAAATCTCCCCAGAAGAAAAATAAAACGACAGAGTTGGAAGACAGAAGAAGAAATATAAGAAAATTAGAGTGTCAGCCCAGGAGGTCAAACATCCAAATTATAAGATTTTTTCAGAAAGACAGAACAGAGAAAATGGACGAGAGGCAATTATCAAAGAAAAAAATGCAATAAAATTTCCCAGAACTGACTGATACAACTTTCTACTGTGCAAATTCCTAACACAATGAAAGAATCCATACTATGACACCATATCATGAGATTTTAGAACAGTAGTTTTAAAAATCTGAAATCCTCCAGAATAAAAAGAATGGGTCTTTTACAAGAGGTCAGTAATCTAAATATCAGACTTCACAATCTAGAATCTAGGAATAGTGGATCAACGCCTTTAAAATCCTGAGAAAAATCATATCCATCCTAGAATTCTATAACCAGCTAAACTATGAGTCAAATGTGAGGGTGGAATAAGACATTTTCAGATGTATAAGGTCTATGGACAGCTGGGCCCATTTTTCTCTTCTTCCTGGGCACATGGCTAAGTTACATTTGTCAACCTCTCTTGTAGCTAGGTAGGGCTACATGTCTAAGCCCTAGTCAGAGGCCCCTGAAGGGAAGGAATACATATTAATTTCCACTTCATTTCTTTAAGAGTAAATACCTATTCCTTGATTTCTGCTTGTATATATATTTTTAATTTCTGTATATTATCATGTTTTGACATCTTAACAAACTTTTCTAGCTAGGGAGAGACAGGACCTTCCAGGGCTAGCCAATTCTTAAAAGTAGCAAAGGGTCCAGCCAGGAGCATGAGCTGATATGCAGACTAACCATTCCAGAGCCATAGCTCCTCTATCTGGCCCATATACTCCAGGAAACAATATTTATCTGCCTTAGTCATTCCAAAGTCAAGTACTAGGCAACTAGGTGGTAATCAGCCATATAGCTCAAAGAACACAGGAATTATTCAAACCAGCCAATCCTAAACTGTTCACCCTGCCTTTCCTTGCCTTTCCCACAGAAACCCAATAAAAGGAAAGACATAAATCTTTCCTTCACTCCTGTCTTCTGCCTCCTGACTACCTTGATGTCTTTCTCAGGTGGTCCCGCATGGCAGTGCCATGCCTCCTGTCTCTAGGGCCTGTAAGCCTCTCCTCTTGTGGCTGCACTTTGACTGACTGTATCATAAAATAATACAAAATACTGTTTTTCTTCCCTCTCCTTGGGCTGAAATGATGATGACACTGGAAACCATATGTTGAAGACGGAAGAACCATATTCACCCAGGATCCCTGAATGACTGCATGGAGCAGAGCTCCCACCATCCTATAATACTTACCTTAGGACTGGTACAAGGGAGAAAAATAAACTTGTTTTTCAAAGCCACTTTCGGGATCTCCTTGTTACAGCAGCTTAGCATTACCCTAACAGTGCATAAGGTTTTAAAATAATTTCCCACCATAAACTCTCTCTCTCAGGAAGCTTCTAGAGAAAGTGATGCTCCAAGATGGAAAAATAAAGCCAGAAAAAAGATAAGAATTTACAAGGGAAAAAAGGGAATTTCCAGAATGTTGCTGAATACAGATTGCAGGACAAGAGATCTAGCAAGCAACCAGTACTGGTTGGACAGAGGCTTCTAAATGGGATTGCTCTGGTTGGACAGAGGCTTCCAAATGGGATTGCTCAAGGGAAAAAAGTGAAACTGATAGATTGCCTCATGTGTTTGGAAAAGACAGGGATACTTCTGGTGGAGGTTTTGGGATGAATTAATTACATATATGAAGAAAACTATGGACATTTTAAAAATGAGGCTATTATTAATATCTAGAAAAACAAAAATTACAAGAACGGATGGTCATCACAATGCAATTATATGACCCAGTTATAAATGTTACTAGAGGTCATTTATACTTATTATAATGTCATCACAATGCAATTATATGACCCAGTTATAAATGTTACTAGAGGTAAAATTTATAGTTATCATAATGTAAACACTAAATGCTAGTTTAACACCAAAAATTTGATACAGTCATTTGGGGAGAATTGTGAGCGGGAATGTGAGACAGTAAGTGTGTAGGGGGAGTGGTCTAACCTAAATCTTTCTTTTCATTAGAAGGAAGACAATAAATCATGCCCAAAGCAGGAAAAAAAACCCAAAAAACCTCAACCAACAAAGAAGTAATGGTAGTAAGAGAATTTATGGCCGGGTGCAATGGCTCACGCCTGTAATCCCAGTGCTTTGGAAAGCTGAGGTGAGAGGATCCCTTGAGCCCGGGAGTACCAGGCTGCAGTGAGCTATGATGGTGTCTCTGCATTCCCGCCTGGGTGACAGAGTGAGATCTTGTCTCTAAATAAATAGATAAATGCAGTATGAACGTAAATGCCAACAGGAACCCTGGGAAGCAGGACTCAGAATAAGAAGCAATTGGGGCAAGGGAATCAGGGGCTGAAGTTTTATGAGAAGCCTTGTAGGACTACAAGTATTTCTTTTTCAGAACTGCTTACATCCATTACCTAATACAATAAAATAAAATAAACAAGTGAGTGGGAGGTGAGAAGTGACATAGCAAGTGTGGGGAAGTCCTTCAAGAATGGGGGTGAGGGGCCAGGCCCGGTAGCTCACACCCGTAATCCCAGCACTTTGGGAGGCCAAGGTGGGTAGATTGTCTGAGCTCAGGAGTTCGAGTCCAGCCTGGGCAACACAATGAAACCCCGTCTCTACTAAAATACAAAAAATTAGCTGGGCGTGGCGGTGTGCGCCTGTAGTCCCAGCTACTCAGGAGGCTGAGGCAGGAGAATCGCTTGAACCTGGGAGGCAGAGGTTGCAGTGAGCCGAGATTGCAGCACTGCACTCTAGCCTGGGCGACAGAGCCACACTCCATCTCCAAAAAAAAAAAAAAGAATGGGGGTGAGGAGGAGAGTGGAGGGAGAGGTGGTGGCTGAGGAGTGATGCGGGGACGTTAGGATGGACATCATTCAGTGTTTGGTCCAGGGACCTCTGGGATCACACTGTCTGAAGAACCCACGCCATCCCACCAAGCTTACTGAATCAAGATCTTGCTTGGTGGGGTGTCAGGGCCTGGAAACCCAAGTTTTTAATCGTCTCCTTGGATGATACTTGTGCATACAGAACTGAGCTTGTTTGGATGCTGATGGAAAGGACCCAAGAAAGGTAAAGTGAGATGGGAGGGGAAGGAGAAATGCACTGAGCAAAGCCCCTGAGACGGCAGGAGGGTGAGACGGCGCCCAGCATTCAGATGGAGGAGTTGGTCCTTGCTAATCCACTGTAATGGGGCTACAGGAGACACTGTTGGTTACTTTATAGATCTAGTGGTAGGAAAAGAGGAGGGGCCTTTCAGCCCTTGCACACTTGCTCCCTTTTGTTAGGAAATATTATTTAAGTCTATGTTTTACAGTAGACCAAGTGTTCCATGGGGGTCAAGACCATGGCATTTCCCACTCCATTCCTCACCATGGCCTAGCACGCAGCAGTGCCTGGCCCAGAGGAGGAGCTCTATAAATGTTTGTTGAATGACTACATGAATGACAGTTTCTTCTGAGGTAAGGGGACTCTTGTTTAAAATCAGACAGATAGGACTGGAGTTCAGGATTAGGACAGGCGACGGGCAGATCTGGAAGGCATGGGTAGGTAGAGAACAGTTGAAGCATTCAGGGTGAAGGCAAGGGGAAAGAGAAGAAAAAGAACGCCGAGGGAAGTGCTGAAGCGGGCGAGGGAGCGAATCCAGAGTGGGGTGCAGGAAACAGATGCATACTGAGGAAGAAGGGGGAAGCACTCCAAATCCTCCACATCATCCAACCTATACCTTCTCTTTCAACCGCACCTCCCACTTCTTGACGAGCCATCCTACAGTAAAGGCAATGGAATGGATGAGCCAATTAACCTGGTGTCTCATAATTAGGGAAGATATGTTGATGTAAGAAATCAAAGACTGGAGTGAACAGTACTATCTCAGACAGCCCATTGGAGTCACACGGAGCCCAATTCACTTCTCCCCTGGGCTGTTTCCTTTCACAGCCATTGCTGATCCAATGTCAGAGCCAACCCCTCAGTGGCCGAACTCCGGTTTGTTTCTACCAGGGAAGTTCTCAGGGGATTATACATGGATTTGGAATCAGGCAGCATCCGAAGAAGGGTTGAAGCAAAAAATCAAAAAACAGTAGATGTTGGCGTAGATGCAGTGATCAGGGAACACTTCTACACTGCTAGTGGGAATGTAAACTAGTACAATCACTATGGAAAACAGTGTGGAGATTTCTTAAAGAACTAAAAGTAGATCTACCATTTGATCCAGTAATCCCACTACTGGGTATCTACCCAGAGGAAAAGAAGTCATTATACAAAAAAGACACTTGCACACACATGTTTATAGCAGCACAATTCACAATTGCAAAGTCATGGAACCCAAATGCCCATCAATCAACGGTGGATAAAGAAACTGGCATATATATACGATGGAATACTACTCATCCATAAAAAGGAATGAATTAATGGCATTTGCAGTGACCTGGATGAGACTGTAGACTATTATTCTAAGTGAAGTTACTCAGGAATGGAAAACCAAACATCGTATGTTCTCACTGATAGGTGGGAGCTAAGCTGTGAGGACTCAAACGCATGAGAATGATACAGTGGACTTTGGGCACTAGGGAGGAAGGACGGGGGAGGCACGAGAGATAAAAGACTACAGATAGGGTGGGTGCGGTGTACACTGCTTGGTGACGGGTGCACCAAAGTCTCACAATTCACCAATAAAGCACTTACATAACCAAATATCACCTGTACCCAAATAACCTATGGAAAAAAAACAAAGAAGGATTGAAGGATTTTTACTTGACTTTAGACTGAGATCCTGGTTTTAATTTGGAATTAAGAATGCTATTGGAACTAGAGTTTTCCGGTTAAAAAAAAAAACTTTTATCCAAGATACAAAGGAAAGTAAAATCTCACCCCCCTCCATTTCCCCAGCACCGCCCCACCGCCCCACCACATGTGCTCACAACCACAGCTGGGGGAGACTAATACAGATTTGCTTCTAAGACAGCATCAGAATCATGGTCAGTGGAATTGGGATCAGTACTGGCTTTTGCAGAAATGGGCAAAAAAAAAAAAAAAAAAATGAATCATCATTGTTTCTGGAAGAAGAGTCATGCCTGGGCAGGGGATTCCCCATCTCCTTCAGGGCTTATGTGGCCTCCATGCCCCTCTCCCTCCTTAACTGCTAAGTCACTTACTGGGTCCCAGAAGTCCAAAGAGAAGCAGCCACAGGAACCAGAAAGCAGGAGAGATATTTCCTCTTCTCATCTCTAAATGATGCACATAGAAGTTGTCATTTAGATGCCTGGGTTCCAAAGGAAGGATAGGTCAAAGAGGCAGAGAGACAAGGGGCAAACCCCCTGGGCCTTGATAGAAAATAAAGTTGCACAAAAAGACCCAAAGGCCAGCCAGTGCCAGGGTAAGCCTTGTAGGCAGATGGCATGGTTGGGGGGAGCCCCCAAATTGCTCCACAGTTTGGCTTCTTATTTTTCTTCTTTTTTCCTCGCAAACGTGTCTGTGGCATTTATAGCTGATACTGAGTAGGGGAGGCCAGAACTTTGGGTCCTCCCTCCCCAGGGAGGGGCATTTCTGCGCTGTGCTTTCTGCAGGGCCGTTTGGAGAGATGTACCCTACAGGAATCAAGGCGGAGGAGAGAGCAGAGTCGGCAAGACCAGAGGGCGCACACATGAGGAGGGGCAGGGAGGGAGGCAGAATGAGGGGATCAAACTTGTCGGAGTGGAAGGGACCCACCCTTTGAACCAGAGCTGACCTGAAACCTGTTTTCCCTGGGTATGCCTCATTTTCAAAGCAGGAGGCCTTTGTAGAAGAAAGAAGGAAGAAGAGAAGAAAAGGAAACAAATGGATGGTAAAGGTCAATAGCAGTCTATCTAGGGGAAGCTGGGGATTTGGAGGGTGATAAGAGCATCAGGACACACGCCCGGCTTTCTCCAGAGTGCTCCTTCCCAGCTGCAGAGCAGCACATGGCTACGTGAGTGATACACTCCACTCCCTGTGAGCTCTCCAAGGGTGGGGAAAGTGGACACTGAGTGAGTCTCACTTCTAGTATCAAGCGGAAGTGAGTAGGGAAGAGGATGGGGCACGGAACTACCCATTTCCCTGAGTCAATCTTTGGCAATGGCTCTTAAGCATAGGTCAGGGACCCTGACTCACCTGCGTCCCTATTTCTAGGCTCACAACTAGCAGTTGATTGAAATTTACCCCGTGTAATTCAGATATGCAAGGAAAAATGTAGTTTGGCTTGCTATAACTCACCCAACTCAGTTTCCAGACTCTCTTTCCCACCAATGGCAGGGAAGCCTGGGGTTGGAAATGAGGATACGGGTATAAGCTTGCCAAATATTGGTGATGAAATTTCATTTTCTTTTAAAAGTGTCTCTTTTGGAAGGCATACTGTATGGTTCTAATTATATGAAAGTCAAGTACATGGAAAAATCAACTGATGATGATTAAAGTCAAAATACTGGCTACCTCTAGGGTGGCACTGATGGGGAGGAGGCAGGGGAGGCTTCTGGGGTGATAAGAATGTGGCACATCTTGATCTGGAAAGCGGGTAGGTGAGTGTATGCATGTGTTAAGATTCAACAATTGGCCGGGTGCGGTGGCTCATGCCTGTAATCCCAACACCTTGAGAGGCTGAGGTGGGAGGATTGTGTGAGCCCAGGAGTTCAAGAGCAGTCTAGGCAACATAGCAAGACCCTGTCTCTATTTCTTTAAAATAAATACATTAAAGAATTAAATAAAATTCAACGACTTGAGCACTTATGTGTCCACTCTGCACATTTTACTGCATATATTTTAAGCCTCAATTTAAAGATTAAAAACAACAGTCAAGGGTACAAACTTTCAGTTATAAGAAGAATGAGTTCTGGAACTTTAATCACATGGAGACTATAATTAACAATATTGTATTGTCTATCTGAAATTTGCTAACACACACAGAAAAGAAATGGTAAATATGTGTTGGTGATGTGTTCATTAGTTTGATAGTGGTAATTATTTCACAATGTATACTCATCAAATCAACACATTGTACACGCTGAAAACATATAATTTTTGTCTATTTTACCTCAGTAAGCTTGGGGGGAGAATTAAAAACAATAAGAAAGAAAAAAATTTTGGTGGCTCACGCCTGTAATCCCAACACTTTGGGAAGCCAAGGTGGGCGGGTTAGGAGTTTGAGACCAGCCTGATCAACATGGTGAAACCCCATCTCTAATAAAAATAAAAATAAAAATAAATTAGCTGGGCGTAGTGGCGGGTGCCTGTAATCCCAGCTACTTGGGAGGCTGAGGCAGGAGAATTGCTTGAACCCGGGAGGCAGAGGTTGTAGTGAGCCAAGATCGCACCACTGCACTCCAGCCCGGGTGACAGAGTGAGACTCCGTCTCAAAAAAAAAAAAAAGAAAGAAAAAGAAAACAATGTTTCAGGTCTCTTTTGGGTAAATACTTGGCCATATGAAATTTAATGCCCCTCTCAGGACTGTTTTCCCCCCATTTCAAGGGCTCTCCCCTCCACTTCTTTCCTGCACGTCCTCTGAGGGGGAATTTATGCCTCCTACTGGCAATGTGGGAACAAGACTTCGGCCCTTCAAGCTGGTCTCTCCTGAGCTCCCTCTCGTTCCATCTGGTCACTGGGATCCTGCATTGGCATCCAACGACTCTGAGACACAGTACTACCATTGTCTTCATTTTACAAATAAGGAAACTAAACCATGGAGAAGTCAAGTAATTTGGCCAAACTCACAAAGTTAGTAAGTGATGGAGTCAGGAATTAAACTATCAGTCCAGCTGCAGAGCCTGTGCTCTTCGCCATTATAAAAGGAGGTTGTCATGTCCAAACAGGACTTTGAGTCTGGCCCCTGAATATCTTCCTCCAACCAGACTGCCTGTTCCCAACTTCATCTGACATAGAAATTCTGGAGCTGTCACTGTTAGAAAGTATGCGGAATATAAAACCACAAAGCTACAGAGGCCCAGCTATGTGGAATTTGAAAAACAGATGGACGAGTCATCATAAGGGACATGTCGGGAAAATTAATGAGTTAAGAGCAGGTTGCTCGAGTGGAGCTGACTGGTCCGAGAACATTTTTTTAAATGCCTCCTTGGAGAGTCTGAGTCATGAGGGTTCTGATGACTAGGAAGGAAAGAGCAAACAGGGGTTGTGGGCTTAGGACTTGGGTTTGTTTTAGAGAGTAAGAGATTAGTTTCGCACAGAGTAGGGAATTCCAGGGACCCGGCAATTACGTAGAGTACACAATTTATAAACATAGCATAGATTTGAAATTCGCCCTTGAATGACCTGTGCTGAAAGTTTGATTTAGGAAAGGCCTGTGTTCCAGATTCTCGCTGCCATCTCTCTCAACCTCACCCTGTACCGGCTTAGATTTTCTTCAACCTGGCTGGACAAGGGGTCTGCTTTCCCTTCTAATTTTAGTTTACCCCCAATTCAAGTAGAGTTATTTTCATCACAAGGAGTCTCAATGGTACCTTCCATATAGCATATAGTTCATCAGAAAGTAACAAAAAGAAGAAGATTTTCTGTGAAATATAGCCTGATATGGTCTATGTCTGTGACCCATTTTCCCACAAACGGACCACTCTGATGGCAGCCACTGTCCCTGGATTTGGAGATCTCTCCTACAGCTGCTTAAGCTTCTTCAGCTATCTGGAGCCACCATTTGTGTAGAAATGTCCTATGTGCTTGAGTGCCCATCTTCAAATTTTCTGTTGTGTATACGTTCAAAAACAATTTTGAAAAGCTGTTTTCCCTCCTCTGTCTATGTTTAATCTAAATTTTTTATCATACATTTAATTATTGCAAAGAATGTAATTTCTACCATATTGTAAATGTAGACATTGAAATAATAAAAGTTTTTACTACTCTTTAAAATGTTTCCAGTAGACTCTAAACACTAGCAGCATCTCAATACTCATCATTATCCTTTTTTTAAATTTTATTTTACTTTAAGAGATGTGGGGGGTCTCACTATATTGCTCAGGCTGGTGTTGAACTCTTGGGCTCAAGCAATCCTCCCGCCTCAGCCTCCCCAAGTGCTGGGATTACAGACGTGAGCCACTGCACCTAGCTTCCATTATCCTTTTGAATAACATATAAGCAAGCTCTTCCTCAATAGTCTAGGTTTTTAAATGGTTCCTCCTGCTCTACGAACTTATAGTTCCATTTTACTTTCCCCATATTATTCTACTGGTCTCTCTCCATATATCATATTAAATACCAGTAACATAAATATTCTACTGCTATACATATATCACAGTATGTCTAATTAATAAACCTTATCTCTTAGAGCAGTTTTGGGTTCACAGCAAAATTAAGTGGTAAGTACAGAGGTCCCATAGACTCCCTGCCCCTACGCAAGCACAACCTCCCCACCTCGTTGACGTCAGGGTTTACTCTTGTATATTCTATGGGTTTTGACAAATGTACAATGACAGGCATCCACCATTGTAGTATCATATACAGTAGTTTCACGCCCTAAGAATCCTCTGTGCTCCACCTATTCATCACCCCACCCTCGTAACCCCTGGCAACCATTGACTCTTGACTGCCTTTATAGTTTTGTCTTTTCTGGGATGTCATATGGTCTGTAATAATTTTTTGCTTGAAAAGCTTTTATTGATCACCCTGTCATACTCCTCTGCATCAAAAGATATGTTTATAAACGTCTAAAAAATTTCCTGTGCCTTGTAAGACTCTGTGTTCAATTTATAGCCCCCAGTAACTTTTTGGTGAATTAAGCAAAAATGCTTCTCTTATGATACGTCTTTCCATATTTTCAAGAAAATATGAATCATTAACTTACCTAACATTTTTTATTTTTCATTTTTTTGAGACGGAGTCTCGCTCTGTCGACCAGGCTGGAGTGCAGTGGTGCAATCTCGGCTCACTGCAACCTCCACTTCCCAGGTTCAAGCTATTCTCTTGCCTCAGCTTCCCACGTAGCTGGGACTACAGGTGCCTGCCACCACGCCAGCTAGTTTTTGTATTTTTAGTAGAGATGGGGTTTCACCATGTTGGTCAGGCTAGTCTCAAAAGCCTGACCTCAGGTGATCCACCCGCCTCCGCCTCCCAAAGTGCTGAAATTACAGGCATGAGCCACCTCGCTTGGCCCACTTACCTAACATTTTAAAAATAACACAACTTACAGAGCGCTTACGAAATGCAGGACTATTCTAAGCCTTCACAATAACCCCATGAAGTGGGTACTATTTTCACTCTCATGTTTACAAATATGGAAACTGAGACCCAGAAGAATTAAGGAATTTGTGGAAAGTCACAATGAAATTGGATTTGAAACCAGAAATTCGAGCTCCACAATCTGTGCTCTTAGCTGACATGCCGTATGGCCTCTCTAAGTGTCTTTTATCTTAAGGTGTAACATTAATCAGTTGGAGCTTACAACATCTTTCTCCTTGAAATCATGCCAAATACACAATTGTTACCTAAACCAAGAAACTAGTGAACAGGAAGCTCTTTCCCCTTACAGAAAATGGTGTACAATTCAGGGAAGTGTGCTTCATAGCACATTGCTTTGTCCCAGCAAGTTGTTGACAAATCTTGAATATTCTAAAATAGGCAGACAGACAGATAAGGTGGGTTGGCTGCCATGGGATTTTTCTCCTTGGTTAAATAAGCCACTGCCTCCTCTATTCTTTCTGCTGATTCTGCTCTTGCTCCAATCTCATGAGATACTCCCTCAAGAGGGATGCATTTTTAAAGAGTGGATGGAAGAGAAGAGATTGTTAAAAAAAAAAGAAAGGAAAAAAAGAAGTTTTTATTACTCCTGTTACTTCATTCTACAGTGTATCTGCGTAAATAACACCTTAACACATGCCAAAATTACCAGTTCCTTACACTCCACGTAGCCCTTCACAGGAATTTATATGAGGCAGGAGAAAACAGGAAGTCCTACTCTGGGTATATGATCCCTAAATTAGAGGTGGTTTTTGAGGTATCCCTTCACTAAAAGGCTTTATTTGACACCCTGAAATGTTCTACACCCTGCGGAAATGTGGTAATAATAATATGGGAGCTACAGAGGAAATGTTGGATGTTCATCAAAGAAGAGTCAGAAAAGTGTAGCCCTGACCACAGAGGTGCCCTCAGACAGATCAGTTCTAGGCCACAAGCACATACGGAAGTTGAAGATCTGGAAAATGGTTCCCATCAAACAACCCACGCCTGCATAATACTCTTCAGGAAGTCTTTATGTACGCCCAAGATGTGGGGGCACAGATGCCACGTGAAGATCATTGTGCTAAATCCACAGTGCAAAGGCACAGGTCTAGATGGGCAGCCCTTTAACCCTGTCCACTTCCTGGACTTTTGCTTGGGTCACGCATGCTTGGTGGGCTGGGGCTTTGTCACATTACAGGAGTAGGTGTATTCCATGACGAAAGCTGGGTAATGATGCTTCCAAACTCTACCTGCACACCCCAGTTGCTGGGAGTAATGAGATACTCACAGCACAACTATGTGAATCAATCACAAGGTAAATTGCTCACCAGGGACTCCCCCCTTTTCTCCTTCCTCTAGCTCAAAATGCCCATTCATTTGAGTCATTTGTTGTTTATTTTTGGAAATAATTTTTTAAAATTTGAGACAGAGTCTCACTCTGTCACCCAGGCTAGAGTGCAGTGACATGATCTCAGCTCACTGCAACGTCCACCTCCCAGGTTCAAGTGATTCTCCTGCCTCAGCCTTCCAAGTAGCTGGGACTACAGGCGCGCACCACCGCGCATGGCTAATTTTTGTATTTTTAGTAGAGACAGGGTTTTGCCATGTTGGCCAGGCTGGTCTCAAACTCCTGGCCTCAAGTGATCTGCCTGCCTCAGCCTCCCAGAATGCTGGGATCACAGGTGTGAGCCACCATGTCCGGCCAGGAAATAAAAATTTTTATTTACATAATGTGCCTGGTAAAAATTTAAGAGCTGTATTGAGCTATAATTTACATACCATATAGTTCACCTGTTTAAAGTATATAAACCTGGCTGGGCAAGGTGGGTCATGCCTCTAATCCCAGCACTTTGGGAGGCTGAGATGGGTGGATCACCTGAGGTTAGGAGTTCAAGACTAGCCTGGTCAACAGTGGTGAAACCCCATCTCTACTAAAAATACAAAAATTAGCCAGGCATGGTGGCACTCGCCTATAATCCCAGCTACTTGGGAGGCTGAGGGAGGAGAATCTCTTAAACCTAGGAAGCAGAGGTTGCAGTGAGCCGAGATTGCGCCACTGCACTCCAGCCTCGGTGACAGAGTGAGATTCCATCTCAAATTTAAAAAAATAATAAGAATAAAATAAAGTATATAAACCAGTGGTTTTAGGCCGGGTGCAGTGGCTCATGCCTGTAATCCCAGCACTTTGGGAGTCCAAGGTGGGTGGATCACCTGAGGTCAGGAGTTCGAGACCAGCCTGGCCAACATTGTGAAACCCCATCTCTACTAAAAATACACACACACACACAAATTAGCTGGGTGTGGTGGCACGCACCTGTAATCCCAGCTACTCGGGAGGCTGAAGCAGGAGAATCACTTGAACCTGGAAGGTGGAGGTTGCAGTGAGCTGAGATCACGCCACTGCACTCCAGCCTGGGCGACAGAGCAAGACTCCGTCTAAAATAAATAAATAAATAAACCAGTGTTTTTTAGTATATTTACAGAGTTGTACTTGGTGAAGCTTTTCATAGACAGACTCAAATCTTTTTTCTCTATTCCAGCTCTTCTTTTTTCCCTTCTAATTCTTCTCTTCCATTTCGTCTCTTTTTCTCTGTTTTGAGCCTTATTACTTGCACGTTAGTCTTCCTGGATCTATCCTCCAAATGTATTATATTTGCCGGGTGATTTTTATTCCTGTATAATTGTGTCTGTTTGAGTTATTTTTCGCGCTTGCTCTTCCGGATTACTAGCATAATTCTCTATAATGGCCAGCCTCTTTCAATTTGTCTATTAAAATTTGAAAATACATGTTTTACTATTTTTTTAAAAAATGATCTAGCTGGACACCCTTGCCTGATCTTATTTCTTTTCATGCTTTTCCACATAAGGGTTTCCACAGTTCCTATCAGTGGGAGGCACCTTTTCAGGGTGTTCAACTTGTCTTTCCCTTCTGGTTTCTGGATCCCTTTAAGTGAGCAGATGATGATGATTGCCTGCATATGGCTCAGCGTGGCCTCTCTGTTCCTCAGTGAGCAGGGGCATGCAAACCTTCCCCCAAAGACTGAGGGAGCTGAGAGGCTGTGGAGACAAAGTGACTCCATCTTGGATGCTAATCTGCCATGTTGACTTCTGATTAACCCAGGTCCCATGAGTCACATGGGCCTCATTCCTACTTTATTTACTGTTCTTGGTAAGGACATGTACTTACTGTAAATCCTGTCTTCGTTTTTTGTTTGTTGTTTTGTTTTTAGAGACAGGGTCTTGCTCTGTCACCTAGGCTGGAGTTCAGTGGTGCAATCTCAGCCCACTGCAGCCTCTAACTCCTGGGCTGTAGTGATCCTCCTGCCTCAGCCTCCCAAGTAGCTGGGACCACAGGCACATGCTACCACTCCCAACTAATTTTGGTTTTCTTTTTTGTAGAGATGAGGTGTTGTTTTGTTTCCCAGACTGGTCTCAAACTCCTGCCCCCAAGCAATCCTCCCTCCTCTCCCTCCCAAAGCTCTGGGATTACAGGCATTAGCCACCACATCCAGCCCCTGCCTTTAGATCAAAGCAACCTTGATATTATGGCATAAATTACAGGCTACGACGCACATAGCATTCCTGCCTGTTCTGAAAGGTTGCTTTTAATTGTCTCTACAGGAAGTATACACCCTTTCCGGGGTAAGCCCTGGGTCTGGGGGTAACAGGTGTGGAGATCTACCTGACTTGCTGCCACCCAAGACTACACTTCTGTCTGTAAATTCCCCAGCAAATCACCATTTACTGACAAACTGGATCTATCTGCCTTGTTTTTGGTTTCTCGGCTCCTTCAGCGTTTGGGAGCCACTTTACATGTATGACCCTTTTATGGAACAAAGGCTGAATGAAATAAGTGGCTAACAAATCCAGTTTCTCCAAAAGAAATTTTGAACAAGGACTAAGCAACAGAAGCCACGTCTGGGAGAGCTGCAAGACGATGGACACTCCAGAAAACATCCTTTCTATAGCAAGGTCTTAGGGTAAAATATATGCAGCTGGTCACATCTCAGACTTTCTTGCCAAAACCCATAACCACTCCGGAGGTTAAAGAAGCATGTTTGTGAAGGGTTATTTATGCAGCAGGCATTGTTTGAAGACTGTGCTGCAGTGCACTTTGCTATGCAAAAGTGGACCACTGGTCATCATGATGTGTCCAGAATTGGTGGCTTCTTGGTCTCACTGACTTCAAGAATGAAGCCGCAGACCCTCGCGGTTACTGTTACAGCACTTAAGGTGGCGCGTCTGGAGCTTGTTCTTTCCGATGTTCGCATGTGTTCAGTTTCTTCCTTCTGGTGGGTTTGTGGTCTCGCTGGCTCAGGAATGAAGCTGCAGATCTTCACGATGAGTGTTACAGCTCACAAAAGCAACATGGACCCAAAGAGTGAGCAGTAGCAAGATTTATTGCAAAGAGCAAAAGAACAAAGCTTCCACAGTCAGGAAAAGGACCAGAACGGGTTACCACTGCTGGCTGGGGCAGCCTGCTTTTATTCTCTTATCTGGCCCCACCCACATCCTGCTGATTGGTAGAGCCGAGTGGTCTGTTTTGACAGGGTGCTGATTGGTGCGTTTACAATCCCTGAGCTAGACACAAAGGTTCTCCACGTCCCCACCAGATTAGCTAGATACAGAGTGTGGACACGAAGGTTCTTCAAGGCCCCACCAGAGCAGCTAGATACAGAGTGTCGATTGGTGAACTCACGAACCCTGAGCTAGACTCAGGGTGCTGATTGGTGTGTTTACAAACCTTGAGCTAGATACAGAGTGCGGATTGGTGTATTTACAATCCCTGAGCTAGACATAAAGGTTCTCCACATCCCCACCAGACTCAGGAGCCCAGCTGGCTTCACCCAGTGGATCCCGCACCGGGGCTGCAGGTGGAGCTGCCTGCCAGTCCTGCGCCGTGCGCTTGCACTCCTCAGCCCTTGGGTGGTCGATGGGACTGGGCGCCCTGGAGCAGGGGGTGGCACTCGTCGGGGAGGCTCGGGCCGCATAGGAGCCCATGGAGGGGGTGGGAGGCTCAGGCATGGCGGGCTGCAGGTCCCAAGCCCTGCCCCGCGGGAAGGCAGCTAAGGCCTGGTGAGAAATCGAGTGCAGCGCCGGCGGGCTGGCACTGCTGGGGGACCCAGTACACCGTCCGCAGCTGCTGGCCCGGGTGCTAAGCCCTTCATTGCCCAGGACCGGCAGGGCCAGCCAAGCCCACGCCCACCCGGAACTCCAGCTGGCCCGCAAGCGCCGCGTGCAGCCCCGGTTCCCGCTCGCACCTCTCCCTCCGCACCTCTCCCTCCACACCTCCCTGCAAGCTGAGGGAGTGGGCTCCGGCCTTGGCCAGCCCAGAAAGGGGCTTCCACAGTGCAGCGGTGGGCTGAAGGGCTCCTCAAGTGCCGCCAAAGTGGGAGCCCAGGCAGAGGAGGCGCTGAGAGCGAGCAAGGGCTGTGCGGACTTCCAGCACCCTGTCACCTCTCAATGGCAGCTTTGCTTCAAAATGGCGTCCCTGTTGCCGTGCAACAGGCTGTATTCCTACACTCCACCTCTCAAAACTGGCCCTGACAATTTCACGTGCTCATCTCTTCCATGATAGTCCCTGGGCCTAAAGGGAGGACCCTTGATAGTGCATAGCTTTAGCAGCAGTGCGTTGGCTCCACTGGAGGCAGATAACACAGCAGCAGTAAAGGCTCAAACAAGACAGTAAGGAACGTACGAGTACAGCACCTAAACCAAGAAGCAGCTTATGCCACCAGGTGCCCCAGGACCCAAACCAGCTGTGAAGCCAATTATTCAAAGTAGGGGTCTGAGAGCTTGGTTATGTGGGCTTTTATATCAGTCATTAATTTAGCGATATTAACTGATTCATCAGGAATATAAACACAGCAGTTTTTCCAATTGCACAAGTGCCCCGTTGTGCAGCGTGAGTATATGTAAAGCCTGGTAATTTGGGAGGACAGACTTTCTCATGACAGTGACTTCCATGTTTAAAAGAGAGATTCCCATGCAGCTATCATTTAAAGTTTTCTTTTTTTTTATTTTTTGTAGAGTTTGTTTTTTTAATTTTTTGAGTCAGAGTCTCGCTCTATCACCTGGGCAGGAGTGCAGTAGCACGGTCTTGGCTCACTGTAACCTCCACCTCCCAGGTTCAAGCAATTTTCCTGCCTCAGCCTCCCAAGTAACTGGGATTACAGGCATGCGCCACCACGCCCAGCTAATTTTGTTATTTTTTGTGGAGATGGGGTTACACCGTGTTGGCCAGGCTGATCTCGAACTCCCGACCTCAACTGATCCACCTGCCTTGGCCTCCCAAAGTGCAGGGATTACAGGCTTTATAGAGTTTCTATATGCCAGATAATATCTTCAATAACCGGATGAGGAAGACAAATGGAGGCCAAACAATCATACCAATAAAAAACAGATCAGAACCAGTGGGATTTCAAATGAGGGAGATTGATAGGCTTTGTAGTGTGTGAACTATTCAGTCTGTGCCCGTGTATAATCCAAAGAACATCTTCCTAAACATGCAGGGGGTAACCAAGGCCATAAATTGGTACCACATATCCAGGAAGTTCCATTTGGGGCCAACCAAAAGATTCCTGCACACAGTGTCCGTTCTGTAACATGCCCAATGAGTATTTTATTATATTATAGCATAGTATATAAAAATCAGTCTCTTGCTATCCATCACATATCCCTTGTGCAATTTGGCCAAGTATCTTTAGAATGATTCATTTGTTCCCAAGACTGAGGAGCAAGTTGACTAACATGGCCAAAAGACGGAATTAACCAAATAAACCCAGCCTGTTTTTGGGTATCAGGTTGTTTTGTTCTTTATTTAGGGTGTTGTCACTCTCTAGCAGGAAATAGCCTATCCAGCCTGGGGCTATTTGTCGTTCCAAGCTCGGTGTGTTTCCTCCTCGGTAGTATATCTGCTGGCATCTTCATGTGCAAAAGACACTGGTTGTCAATGAGGTCTGGGAGCAAGCAAAGCAGTCGTCTCAATTACCCCTATGGGAACAGTGGTAGGCTTGGGGGACCGTTGTCCTAGACGGTCACATGGGGCAGGCGTCCCTGCTTTGGCTGAATTTAAAGAAATAAAGGTTGGAGATAACACATTCATCTGCCTATGCAAGGTAGGTTTCCCAAATTAGAGTTTGAATTTGTGCTTTCAACAGACTGGTATTTCTTTCAATTAACCCTGCTGCTTGGAGGTTCTATGGGAGATAAAAGTGCCATAGTGTATCATGTTTCCTGGCCCAGTCCTGCATGTCATATCCAGCGAAATGGGTCCCTCGGTCACTGTCAATGTGCCAGATATATCCATACATAGTACTGAGAGCCTCTAAGCCTTTAATAGTACTGGCTTGATTAGCTTGCTTATAGGGAGAATCTTGCAGCAGTCCAGTAGCGGTGTCCATGCAGGTTAACATGTATTTATTTCCTTGGCTTACAGGGACAGTATCTAAATAATCCACTTGCCAATCTGTTACATGGTGGACAGCCTTCTGAATATCTGAATGTGTCCTGCTCAATATGATCTACAATAGAGAACATGGTAAACAATTTGTAAGAGCTGTTGGGAAGGCACTATATATTTTTTGTTGTTGTTGTGGAGATGGGATCTCGATATGTTGCCCAGGCTGGACTCAAACTCCTGGCCCCAAGCAATCGTCCCACCATGGCCTCCCCATGTGTGAGCCACTGTACCAGGACTAGGTCACTATATATATATATATATTTTTTTTTTTTTTTTTTTTTTTTGAGACGGAGTTTTGCTCTTATTGCCCTGGCTGGAGTGCAATGGCGTGATCTCGGCTCACTACAACCTCCACCTCCCGGGTTCAAGCAGTTCTCCTGCCTCAGCCTCCTGAGTAGCTGGGATTACAGGTGCATGCCACCACGCCCAGCTAATTTTGTATTTTTAGTAGAGACAGGTTTCTCCATGTTGGTCAAGCTGGTCTCGAACTCCCAACCTCAGGTGATTTGCCCGCCTCGGCCTCCCAAAGTGCTGGGATTACAGGCATGAGCCACCGTGCCCAGCCTGGTCACTACATTTTAAGAGTAATCCTGCTTCCTTGACTGTCTCCCAGCCTACTCTTGCACTTCTGTGACCACTTTTGTTATGTACCCAGGTCAATAGTTCAGAGGCCTGAGCTGGCATGATGCTTCTAATTTTTTTTAGGGTTTTAGCTTCCATGTTTTGTGGAACTGAGTGGTTTTTATGTGCAGTCACCTGAAATACAGTTAAATCAGCCACAAGGCTTTGCGGCTTTTTCCGTATGTCTTGCCACATGTTCATGCCCCATATAGGTTTGTGCATAATCATCCACTTTTCTAGTTCCTGTTGAGCCAGCCACATAATTAGGCCTTTGAATACAGCTCAGCTATCAGTGCAAAGAACCAGGGGCCAGGCTCATATGTGACTATTAACCAGGCTGCTTGCAACTCATCCCAGTGGCTCCTCTGATGCCCACCTGTATCAAACCAGATTGTATCAGTTTGTGGCTGTGTAGCAACAGCGGTCCAAGAACAGCGGTTTCCCCTGCTGGAGTCCTCTGTACACCAAGCATCATCTGGATGCTTACCATGTCAGGTGCTGGAGTTGGAGAGGGTCAGGTGGTATCCTTTGTTTGTTCACGTCATAACAGAGCCTAATGCAGTATGTAATTCTGGGCTTAAGGGACTCATTGCTAGCATTCTTCCTTGTTGCAAATAATCATGCCATTTATTCAAGGTAGGTGTTGGGGCTACAGCGGAGGTGGGTTGTTTAAAAATCCTTCTAACCATCCCTTGATTGGTAGACCTATTCTCACAGTCATGGGAAGGGTCTTTGTTAGCAATTCCACCTGCTGTAAAGCATTCTCTACTACTAGCACTTCTTGTTCAACAGGAGAGTATCTGGTTTTGGCTCCTTTCTTAAAAGGACTGATTCCCTAGACTGCGGTTGCCATAAGGCCCCACTCATATCCTCAGGAGCAGCAGTAACATCCAAAGTCCTAGCTGTACCCTCCAAAGGGGTGCCTAAGGCCTGTGCCTGCTGTACCAACACTTCAGCCTGTTCAAAGCTTCCTGCTGTGGTGTGTCCCAGGCCCAATGTGCCCTTTCTCTGATAAGTCTGTATAGGGATCTCAAAAACTGTGCTAAGTATGGGATGCATACTCTCCAATAACCCAAAAGACCCACAAATGTTTGGATTTCTTTGACTGTTTCTGGAGTTGACATTGTTGGGCTTTGTCAATTATTGCACCCAGTATCAAAGGAGTGTTACCCAACCATGTAACCCCTAAAAACTTCACTGTGGGCCGGGTGCAATGGCTCACACCTGTAATCCTAACACTTTGGGAGGCCAAGGTGGGCGGATCACAAGGTCAGGAGTTCGAGACCAGCCTGGCCAATATGGTGAAACCCCATCTCTACTAAAAATACAAAAGTTAGCTGGGCATGGTGGCAGGTGCCTGTAGTCCCAGTTACTCGGGAGGCTGAGGCAGGAGAATCGCTTGAACCCAGGAGGCGGAGGTGGCAGTGAGACAAGGTCGCACCATTGCAATCCAGCCTGGGTGACAGAGCGAGACTCCGTCTCAAAACAAAACAAAACAAAACAAAACAAACAAACAAAAAATCTTCACTGTGGGCTCTGGGCCTTGCATCTTCTGAGGATTGATGGCCCATCTCCATTCCATAGATGAGCACCCAATACCATAAGACATTACTGCAAACCAAAACAACATGGTACTGGTACAAGAACAGACACATACACCAGTGGAACAGAATAGAAAACACAGAAATAAGACCA
This sequence comes from Homo sapiens, assembly GCF_000001405.40. Taxonomy (NCBI): domain Eukaryota; kingdom Metazoa; phylum Chordata; class Mammalia; order Primates; family Hominidae; genus Homo; species Homo sapiens. The sequence goes on along the minus strand of NT_167247.2, from coordinate 2,340,120 downwards.
CGCACCCACGACTATCTGATCTTCAACAAACCTGACGAAAGCAAACAATGGGGAAAGAATTCCCTGTTCAATAAACAGTGCTGGGATAACAGGCTAGCCATATGCAAACAATTCAAACTGGACCCCTTCTTTACACCTTACACAAAAATTAACTCACGATGGATTAAAGACTTAAATGTAAAACCCAAAACTATAAAACCCTGGAAGACAACCTAGGTAATACCATTCAGGACATAGGCATGGGCAAAAATTTCATGACGAAGATTCTGAAAGCAATTGCAACAAAAGGAAAAATTGAAAATGGGATTTAACTAAACGAAAGAGCTTCTGCACAGCAAAAGAAACTATCAACAGAGTAAACAGACAACCTACAGAATGGGAGAAAATTTTTGCAAACTATGCATCTGACAAAGGGCTCATATTCAGCATCTATAAGGAACTTAAACAAATTTATTTTAAAAAAGCAAACAATTCCATCAAAAAGTGGACAAAGGACATGAACAGACACTTCCCAAAAGAAGACATACATGTGGCCAACAAACATATTTTAAAAAGCTAAACATCATTGATTATTAGAGAAACGCATATCAAAACCACAATGATATTGTGCCATTGCACTCCAGCCTGGGCAATAAGAGCGAAACTCCATCTCAAAACAAACAAACAAAAACCCACAATAAGATATCATCTCACGCCAGTCAGAACAGCTATTATTAAAAAGTCAAAAAATAAAAGATGCTGGCGAGGTTGTGGAGAAAAAAGAATGCTTATACACTGTTGGTGGGAGTATAAATTAGTTCAGTCATTGTGGAAGACACTGTGGTGATTCTTCAAAGACTTAAAGACAGATACCATCTGATCCAGCAATCCCATTACTGGGTATATACCCAAAGGAATATAAATCATTCTGTTATAAAAGCACATGGACGTGGCCAGGCACGGTGGCTCATGCCTGTAATCCCATCACTTTGGGAGGCTGAGGCAGGTGGATCACCTGAGGTCAGGAGTTCGAGACCAGGCTGACCAATATGGAGAAACCCCTGTCTCTACTAAAAATACAAGATTATATGGGCGTGGCGCCACATGCCTGTAATCCCAGCTACTGGGGTGGCTGAGGCAGGAGAATCGCTTGATCCCGGGAGGCAGAGGTTGCAGTGAGCTGAGATCGCACCATTGCACTCTAGCCTCGGCAACAAGAGCAAAACTCCATCTCAAAAAAAAAAAAAAATGCATGCATGTGTTCATTGCAGTGGTATTCACAATAGCAAAGACATGGAATCAACCTAAATGCCCATCAGCGATAGACTGGATAAAGAAAATGTGGTATATATACATCATGGACTACTATGCAGTCATACAAAAAGAACAACATCATGTCCTTTGCAGGGACATGGATGGAGCTGGAGGCCATTATTCTTAGCAAACTAATGCAGGAACAGAAAACCAAATACCGCATGTTCTCGCTTATAAGTAGAAGCTAAATGATGAGAACACAGGGACACATAGAGGGGAACAACACCCACTGGGGCCTATCAGAGGGTGGAGGGTGGGAGGAGGGAGAGGATCAGGAAAAATAACTAATGGGTACTAGGCTTAATAGCTGGGTGACGAAATAACCTTTACAAAAAAACCCCCATGACACACATTTACTTATGTAACAAACCTGCATATGAACCCCCGAACTTAAAATAAAAGTTAAAAAAAGAAAAGCCATGGCTGCAGCACAGTAAAAGCTTCAGCGGCTGACATAATGCCAACAAGATAACAAAACTAGAAGAAAAGACGGGAATGCGAAAAAAGACAAGACTCTTTCATGGGCTTTGTGCTGGGTGGATAATAGTTGCACTTATTGGGAGGATAATAATTGCACTTATTTCAGCATACCCCCTGGACAATATGAATCATTTAATGTTGACAACGCCATGTAGGGGCAGGAAGTTGTAGGGGCTCCCATTTTCTTCCTCTCTCAAGAACAGTCTTCACGGAGTGCCTGCGATTGCAGGCACGCGCCGCCACGCCTGACTGGTTTTCGTATTTTTTTTGGTGGAGATGGGGTTTCGCTGTGTTGGCGGGGCCGGTCTCCAGCTCCTAACCGCGAGTGATCCGCCAGCCTCGGCCTCCCGAGGTGCCGGGATTGCAGACGGGAGTCTCGTTCACTCAGTGCTCAATGATGCCCAGGCTGGAGTGCAGTGGCGTGATCTCGGCTCGCTACAACCTCCACCTCCCAGCCGCCTGCCTTGGCCTCCCAAAATGCCGAGATTGCAGCCTCTGCCCGGCCGCCACCCCGTCTGGGAAGTGAGGAGCGTCTCCGCCTGGCCGCCCATCGTCTGGGATGTGAGGAGCCCCTCTGCCTGGCTGCCCAGTCTGGAAAGTGAGGAGCGTCTCAGCCCGGCCGCCATCCCATCTAGGAAGTGAGGAACACCTCTTCCTGGCCGCCATCACATCTAGGAAGTGAAGAGCGTCTCTGCCCGGCCACCCATCGTCTGAGATGTGGGGACCGCCTCTGCCCCGCCGCCCCGTCTGGGATGTGAGGAGCGCCTCTGCCCGGCCGCGACCCCGTCTGGGAGGTGAGGAGCGTCTCTGCCCGGCCGCCCCGTCTGAGAAGTGAGGAGACCCTCTGCCTGGCAACCGCCCCGTCTGAGAAGTGAGGAGCCCCTCCGCCCGGCAGCCGCCCCGTCTGAGAAGTGAGGAGCCCCTCCGCCCGGCAGCCACCCCGTTTGGGAAGTGAGGAGCCTCTCCGCCCGGCAGCCAACCCGTCCGGGAGGGAGGTGGGGGGGTCAGCCCCCCGCCCGGCCAGCTGCCCCGTCCGGGAGGTGAGGGGCGCCTCTGACTGGCCGCCACTACTGGGAAGTGAGGAGCCCCTCTGCCAGGCCACCACCCCGTCTGGGAGGTGTACCCAACAGCTCATTGAGAATGGGCCATGATGACGATGGCGGTTTTGTGGAATAGAAAGGGGGGAAAGGTGGGGAAAAGATTGAGAAATCGGATGGTTGCTGTGTCTGTGTAGAAAGAAGTATACATGGGAGACTTTTCATTTTGTTCTGTACTAAGAAAAATTCTTCTGCCTTGGGATCCTGTTGATCTGTGACCTTACCCCCAACCCTGTGCTCTCTGAAACGAGTGCTGTGTCCACTCAGGGTTAAATGGATTAAGGGCGGTGCAAGATGTGCTTTGTTAAACAGATGCTTGAAGGCAGCATGCTCGTTAAGAGTCATCACCACTCCCTAATCTCAAGTACCCAGGGACACAAACACTGCGGAAGGCCTCAGGGTCCTCTGCCTAGGAAAACCAGAGACCTTTGTTCACTTGTTTATCTGCTGACCTTCCCTCCATTATTGTCCTATGACCCTGCCAAATCTCCCTCTGCGAGAAACACCCAAGAATGATCAATAAAAAATAAATAAATAAATAAATAAAAAGAAAGAAGAAAAAGAAAAAAAAAAAAAAAACAGTCTTCACTACATGCACCTTCGATCTGAATTTTTCCACTGAAGTTTGCTAAGTCTTTCCTAACAGAATACCTGTGCCTAAAAAGTTTTCTGGAATAAGAAAAATAAACACCACATATGGGGCAGGGGAGCTTCCCCAATACCTAGATGTATTAAAGTCCTTCTCATCCAGATCGTTTGTCCCCATAACCAGTGATGGCAGACCATTGACCAGGGTGTATTTATGGATTTCCATGAATTAAAGTATATTCTGCCCTAGTATCTACTAAGGAAATAGTCTTCTCCTTATTTTTTTGAGAGGAACAGTAAATGGTGAGCTCAATATGGGGCCTCTGGTCACCTGCAACGTGGGGTTGACCTTGGTCCCACTGCTAATCTTGGGCCCAGCATGGAATCCCCCTCTGATAGGCTGGAGTATTAGAATGAGGGGTTGAGTCATCTTCCTCTTCTGCTAGAGGGGCAGAAATGAAGGGACAAAACAGCCCTTCAGTCTGTACTTCCCTCCATAAGGCTACTAACACAGCATTTTTCATATTTTCCATATTTTAACATTTTTTACATATTTTTTTCTCAGAATTTTTCTGCTCCCAATAAGTCATGCCACATTTGCCTGTTCTTGACTCTAGTTGGTCGCTTTCCCTTATTTTCCCCCTTCTTCCTGTGGAGCATTATCTTTCCCCTTTGTCAGCCCTTGCCGGGTTACAAAGCACACCCCGTCCCTAGCTTTCTCAGTAGCTCCCAAATCTGTGATGGCTTCTCCTACGTCATATACATCTTTTTTTTTTTTTTTTTAAGACGAAGTTTCGCTGTTGTTGCTCAGGCTGGAGTGCAATGGCACGATCTCGGCTCACTGCAACCTCCGCCTCCCACGTTCAAGCTATTCTCCTGACTCAGCCTCCCAAGTAGCTGGGATTACAGGCGCCTGTCACCATGCCCGGCTAATTTTGTATTTTTAGTAGAGAAGGAATTTCACCATGTTGACCAGGCTGGTCTTGAACTCCTGACCTCAGGTGATCCATCCACTTCGGCCTCCCAAAGTGCTGGGATTACAGGCATGAGCCACCGTGCCCAGCCCTTTTTTTTTTTTTTTTTTTTTTTTTTTGAGACGGGGTCTCACTCTGTTGCCCAGGCTGGAGTGCAGTGCCCCAATCTCAGCTGACTGCAACTTCTGCCTCCTGAGTTCAAGCAATTCTCCTACCTCAGCCTCCCAAGTAGCTGGGGTTACAGGCACACCACCTAGCTAATTTTTGTATTTTTAGTAGAGATGGGGTTTCACCATATTGTCCAGGCTGGTCTCGAACTCCCGATCTCAAGTAATCCGCCTGCCTCGGCCTCTCAAATTGCTGGAATTACAGGTGTGAGCCCCTGTGCCTGGCCTTCCCACATCATATACTTCTTGTCCCATTTATAGGACTCAATAACATGAGCCAAGGGTTGTGCCATTCTCCTGGTGCACCCTTCAGCAATTTATTTTTCATCCCTGCAGGAAAAAACTGTTTTAAGTCCTGTGAGAACCCAAACATAGATGACTTGACTCATTCCTAATTCTTGGAGAAGCCCTTGGGCCTTTTCTGTTGACTGCCAGGAGGTCATCCTTCCCGGTAAATTTCCCTCATTAGGTCAAGCCTCCCTCATAGCTAGAATGAGCCAGTCCATAAGCTATGACTCCCTTGCGTCTGCCTTGCCTTAGCAAAGATGCTTCTGCAGGGCTGCATGGGTGGTGATGTTACTCATTTTTTCTGCTTCTCCTGTTAAGGAAATATCATCAGCCCCTGTGTCCCACAATCAGACCATCCAAGCAGCCAGGGATTTCCTCGGTAGTTGTTTAAAGGCCTTTGCAATCTCTAAGAGTTCTGCAGCGGTAGGTTCCCTGACAGTGAGAGTCTCCTGTATCAGCTGACCCCCGTTTTGCTGCCAATGTTAGGTTTCACTTTCCTTTGCATGAGACAGCGAGCTTGCCAATGATCCCCATCCCCCTCCACACCTGTGACTTCTATGTCATCAGTCTTCCTCTTCATAACAATCCCAGGGATTCCAAGTTTTCACATCCCGGTTGGGCTTTCTCATGAGAGCTCTGATTTTTGGTCATTTCCATATCTTTCGCCCTAGGTGGACAAATCTACATGCTAACATTTCAATTTTTGTCTCTTGGTCTTCAATTTTGTTTGCTAAGTTGGATGTGAGGAGAGACATGGAGAGGTACACGTCTTTTTCTAGTTGCAATTCCTTCTCTAGACATTTAATTTTGGCTTCTGCTGCTAGCCGGATCTTCATTGCCAAAAGAAGCACCCAACCCTCTGCAGTGGCTATTGGCCGACCTTCCGTACCCCAGTGCACTATGCGGCTTTCAGTTAATAACTGCTCTAGGCCACCTGGCATTTTCAAGGCATCCCTGCACTCACACAGAGGTACACAGGTATCGAACAGTTGTGCCATCCAACCCTACACAGACGTGGCTGCCGCCCTGGGGTTTCCTTACAGATGCTTCATTCTCCTTACCCATTCCTTGTTCTCCCAGCTACTGGCTGGGGGATCACCAAATGTTCTACCATGAACAGGTCTACACAAACCTACCCCTAAATTTTGAGGGGAAAAGAGATCAAAGAAAGAGACTGACAAATCCAGTTTCTCACAGAGAAATATTTAATGGAGTCTTCCAAAGAGAAGTGATGTCTGAGGTGGCCACAAGATGGTGGATTCCCACACTCCCTCTCCAAAAAATATCCTTTCTAGAGTAAGCTTTTAGGGGAAAACATGTGCAACTGGTCACATCACAGACTTTCTTGCTGAAACCCATGACTGCTGGGGAGGTTAGATAAGCATCTTTGTGAGAGGTTAATTACGCTACAGGCATTGTTTTAAAGCCCTTGATACAGAACACCTTGGTATGCAGGAGTCAGACATTGGACATCTGGCGAGGTGCAGTGGCTCACACCTGTAATCTCAGCATTTTGGGAGGCCAAGGCAGGAGGAGTTCAAGGAGGCCAGGAGTTCAAGACCAGCTTGTGCAACAGAGTGAGGCCCTGTCCCTACAAAAAATTCTAAAAATTAGCCAGGCATGGTGGCACACGAAACTGTAGTCCCAGCTACTCAGGAGGCTGAGGCAGGAGGATTGCCTGAGCCCAGGAATTGAAGGCTGCAATGAGCTATGATTGCACCACTGCAAAACTCCATCTAAAAAAAAAATGGCCATTGTGGTGGTTTCACTTCAAGATGGTATCACTCTTACCATGCAACAGGCTGTTTTCCTATAGCCGCATTGGTAAGATCCAATTCTTTGGTTTGCTGACACTGGAGAAACCCAATAAGTGGTGGAAGATGGAGCAGTTTCTACTGCTGTGAGTTGGGGTGAACCCACCAACAGACTGCTAATTCTCTGCTGAGGGCTCTGTCCCAAGTAGGAGCCCTCCATTACCTTGTGGGCTCAAAGCAACTTAGCCTCTAAAGCAGCTCCCCTCTGTCTTCCAAGACCTGGAGGACCCTCTTCCCTGGACTCATGAAAGGGATACGTGCAGCTCTTCTGGGCGGGGATTTATGAGAATCTCGGGTCTTTGCAAGAGCCTCTTGGAAGATTCGACCTCAGCAGGCCAGAAAGTCTTTCCCTTGGGAAACCAGGGAGCACTCAGGGAGATGAGTGTCACCAGCTCCTCCACCCTGATGGGTAGTCAGGCCTGGAGCACATGGAAATGCCCTGGGAACCTCGACTTCAAGTGAATATGCGTACCCCCCTCCCCCCTCCCCCCCCACACACAGAGCAGGTAGTTGTAACGCCTCCACCTCATCCTGCTCTTGGCTCTTCATGTATCACAACCTAATCTCTGTGTACCACAGGCCTCACGCAGGAGCCCATAGCATGCTGGCACCCGCCCTCCCTCCTTATCTCTCCCAAGTCAATTCTCCAGCCAATCGGGGTGTCTCAGAGATACAGGGACCTTGCCTGGGGCAAAAAGGATTAGAAAATGCAGACACACAGATAAGAATGAGGTCTTTGGATTTTACTGTGGAGATTTTGAATGCCAGATGGAGTCCAGCATGGAGGTTTTCTCCTATAACTGAGTTCATCTCAGAGCTAGATACCCACCCCGGGGCACGCACAGCTTCTCTTTGTCGTGTGTGTTAGATGAGATGTATTTATTTCTTAGCTAAATGAGCAATATAGTATTCTCTTTCCAGTGTCTGGTAAAGGCAAGAAAGGTGAGGAATACCTTCTTCAAGATTTTCAGGATCTCAAACAAAGCTGGGAGGGGTCTCCTGGGATGAATGAAAGGAAACCAGGTCTTGGGTGCCCAGGTCTCTTCCTTCCTGAAGAATGCGGCACTTGCTTCCGGGGCTGCTCAGGGCCCGCTGTTCCTCCCGCTCATCTCCATGGCTATCGAGGATACTGGTCTCCTCCAGAACCAGTTAGGACTCCACCTGGGCCTGTGGGGGGCTCCATGATTCCCTCCAGGGCCTGGACCAAGGCCATGGTTGAGGCCATGAGGGTGGTAGACAGCTGTGTTAAAGGTGTTTCTCAGGGACAGGCTGTTTCTCTAAAAAAAGAAGAGTCAATAGTTTCAGAATTGCATCCCTGTCTCCCACGCCTTTACCACGTACGCCTTCTGGAATCTTCTCCCACTTCCAACCATACTCTTTACCTAGTTCTCCTTTCTCCAGTCCTTTCTGTGGCCCCCTTTTCCCGCAGGTCAGCAGCTTCCTCTGCATTGACCTACCATGTCTCTGTGTTACTCTTTCCTGATCTCCCTTCCTCCCTACCCACCCCTGACTTGAGACCCCTTCTATTCACACCCATTTCCTTGTGTTTCTGCTGCTCCTTCCCCCAGGCATTTTCTTACATATTAGGCACTCACCACACAGAAGAAGAGCCCAGCAAAGAGCCCCACGGCCGCCACAACCGAGACCAGGGTGATGAGGAAGATTTCCCACGGCACCAGGGACCCACCAGGCTTCGCCTCACTCACTGCAGTAGATGCACTATGGGAAGTTGTGTGCATTCCAGTCAGAGCTGCTGTTCCAGAGCCTGCAGAGGTCACACTGGACCCAGAGTTGGTGGCTGTGTTGGCCCCACTGGAGGTTGTGCTGGACTCAGAATTGGTGGCAGTGCTGGCCCCACTGGACACTGTGCTGGACTCAGAGTTGGTGGCTGTGCTGGCCCCACTGGAGGTCGTGCTGGACTCAGAGGTGGTGGCTGTGCTGGCCCCACTGGACACTGTGCTGGACTCAGAGTTGGTGGCTGTGCTGGTCCCACTGGAGGTCGTGCTGGACCCAGAGTTGGTGGCTGTGCTGGCCCCACTGGAGGTTGTGCTGGACTCAGAGTTGGTGGCTGTGCTGGCCCCACTGGAGGTCGTGCTGGACTCAGAGTTGGTGGCTGTGCTGGCCCCACTGGAGGTTGTGCTGGAGTCAGAGTTGGTGGCTGTGTTGGCCCCACTGGAGGTCGTACTGGACTCAGAGTTGGTGGCTGTGTTGGCCCCACTGGAGGGTGTGCTGGACTCAGAATTGGTGACTGTGCTGATCCCACTGGACACTGTGCTGGACTCAGAGTTGGTGGCTGTGCCGGCCCCACTGGAGGTCGTGCTGGACTCAGAGTTGGTGGCTGTGCCGGCCCCACTGGAGGGTGTGCTGGACTCAGAGTTGGTGGCTGTGCTGGCCCCACTGGAGGTCGTGCTGGACTCAGAGTTGGTGGCTGTGCCAGCCCCATTGGAGGTCGTTCTGGACTCAGAGTTGGTGGCTGTGCTGGCCCCACTGGAGGTTGTGCTGGACTCAGAGTTGGTGGCAGTGCTGGCCCTACTGGACACTGTGCTGGACTCAGAGTTGGTGACTGTGCTGGCCCCACTGGAGGTTGTGCTGGACTCAGAGTTGGTGGCTGTGCTGGCCTCACTGGAGGTTGTGCTGGAGTCAGAGTTGGTGGCTGTGCTAGCCCCACTGGAGGTTGTGCTGGAGTCAGAGTTGGTGGCTGTGCTGGCCCCACTGGAGGGTGTGCTGGACTCAGAGTTGGTGGCTGTGCTGGCCCCACTGGAGGTTGTGCTGGACTCAGAGTTGGTGGCTATGCTGATCCCACTGGACACTGTGCTGAACTCAGAGTTGGTGGCTGTGCTGATCCCACTGGAGGTTGTATGGAACTCAGAGTTGGTGACTATGCTGACCCCATTGGAGGTCACGCTGGACCCTGAGATGGTGGCTGTGCTGACCCCACTGGAGGTCACACTGGACCCAGAGTTGGTGGCTGTGCTGGCTCCACTGGAGATCACACTGGATCCAGTGTTGGCAGAGGTGCTAGTCTCATTGGAATTTGTTGCTGAAGAAATCATATAATGACAAATATATATTGTGTGTATATACTTTCTGCTTATTGCTTGGCTAAATTCATTACATAATTTTATTTAATGCTCACTATGGTGCTATAACATAGATGCTATTATTATCACCAGCTGAGATGAAGAAATTGAGGCTTCAAAATGTTGATACTGGGCTGGGCACGGTGGCTCACGCCTGTAATCCCAGCACTTTGGGAGGCCAAGGTGGGCGGATCACCTGAGGTTGGGAGTTCGAGACCAGCCTGACCAACATGGAGAAACCCCATCTCTACTAAAAATACAAAATTAGCCGGGCATTAATTCCAGCTACTCGGGAGGCTGAGGCAGGAGAATCACTTGAACCCGGGAGGCAGAGGTTGCGGTGAGTCGAGATCGAGCCATTGCACTCCAGCCTGGGTGCCAAGAGCAAAACTCCGTCTCAAAAATAAAAAATAAAAAAAAGTTGACACTGGCCCAAGTTTACACAGCTAGTGAGTGGTGGAACAGGAAACTGAACCCAGGCTACTAAATCTGCACTTGTGGAGACTAAGCTAAGTCAACCACCCACCCACAATGCCAGAGTTACATCATCTAGTTTCACTGGTAGCTAACCTTTTTCCACATTCTGCTATGCAAGATACAATACAGATATAAAGTATTATAAAAGAATTATAGGACTAGGTGAAACTAGTATATACTGATCAATTTTTTTCTTAAGTAGTATTGCTTCCTTCTTGGAAAATATTTCTCAGAATAATATTCAGAACACACTTATTTCAGAATTACTTAAGGGAGCATGTTGAAAATATTCTTAAGCAAATCATTCCAGACTAAATGAATTAGAATTTGAGATGGGGCCCAGGAGTCTGCATGTACAACAAGAAGCCAGGTGACTATATGCATTCAAGTTCCAGGGGCCCTTGATCACTATGGCCAAGGCTAGAGAAGAACGAGTTATATGTAGCTCAAATACATAAGAGCTCCCAGGAATAAGGGCTGTAAACCAACGTCTAAAGGTAGAGGGAAGGCTTTTAACTTCTTGGAGGCTTGGCTGGAGTTAAGGTTATGTCAAATTTTTGCCCTTGATTTCCCAGAAGGATGAAGACATTCAACCTCCCCAGCCTGTACGTGGGAAGCTGACGAGGAATTAGGTGTAGGGGTAGGAGAGAAATTGAGTTTGTAGAATATAGAAGAGTGGTATTTTATTTTATTTTATTTTATTTTATTTTATTTTATTTTATTTTATTGCTTATTTATTTATTTGTTTTTGAGACGGAGTCTTGCTCTGCCGCCCAGGCTGGAGTATAGTGGAGCAATCTCAGCTCACTGCAACATCCGCCTCCCACGTTCAAGCGATTCTCCTGCCTCAGCCTCCTGAGTAGCTAGGATTACAGGCATAAGCCACCCCGCCAGGCTAATTTTTGTACTTTTAGTAGAGATGGAGTTTCACCATGTTGGCCAGGCTGGTCTGAAACTCCTGGCCTCAAGACATCCACCCGCCTTGGCCTCCCAAAGTGCTGAGATTACAGGCGTGAGCCACTGAGCCTGGCCTTATTTTATTATTTTATTTTTTTGAGACAGAGTCTCACTCCGTCACCCAGGCTGGAGTGCAGTGGCACCATCTTGGCTCACTGCAACCTCCGCCTCCCGGGTTCAAGCGATTTTCCTGCCTCAGCCTCCTGAGTAGCTGGGAGTACAGGGACAAGCCAACACACTCAGCTAATTTTTGTATTTTTAGTAGAGACAGGGTTTTGCCACGTTAGCTAGGCTGGTCTTGAACTTCTGACCTCAATGACCTGCCTGCCTCACCCTCCCAAAGTGCTGGGATTAAAGGCATGAGCCACCGCACCCCGCCAGAAGAGTGACATTTTAAAAGCAGCCGACTCTTCTTGTTCTTAATATTTAAAACCCCAACCATATTACACAGGTTGTTACCATTTTACAGATGCAGAAATCGAGGCGCAGAGAAGCAACTGACCTAAAGTACACAGTTAATAGATGGAGCCATAATTCAAATGTAGGCAATGTGAGACCAGAGCCCAATTTTAACCACTGTGTCTGACTGCTTCCTGCATGACATACCTTGTTAGGCTGAAGTGATTCGAGTAAAATGATGATCCTCACTCTATGGAAGAGAAGCAGAGCTGGCCCCAGTAGTGGTCACATTTCTCTCCCAACTCCTCAAAGGTTCTCAGACCACCCGATTTTAAATAAAATCACTCACCAGCTTCTAAATGCAATAGTAGACCAAACATAAGGAGAACATTTCCTTTCTGCATCTTCATCTGTCTCTTTGTGGCTGGAAAGCAAGATGCCTGGGTCCTAGATGTACCAAGACTTTAGAGGGCAAAGAACAGAGGATTCTTGAGAAAGGGGACTTGAAGGTGAAGAGATAAAGGCTGGTGCTTCCAGGAGCGTGGGTCTCCTACGTTTGTGTTCCTGGGAAGAATCTTGGACTCAGGCGTGGGCAGCTGGATGCCTGGGTTCCTTAGGCTTCCTCCAGGCAATGTAGTTGCCTCTTTCTCTGTTGTGAAAGAGCTGCAGGGGCCTTTATAGCTTCATATGGTCTGAGGAGGGGTGGGGCAGTTGACCTGACAGTCTGCCAACTACAGGCAGGTGAGAGAACGATACCAAGCCTGGGACGGAATAGAGCAGGGGTCAAGAGGAAGGTGAGAAAGGAGAATGACATGACCACACTAGGCAGGGTGCTTGGCTGGGTTGCAGCAGGAAGTAGAATGGGATGAGGAGATCATGGTTGTCAGAGTGGAAGGGACCCACCCTTTGAAGCAGGGATCGGGTTAGAAACCTGTTGCAGCTCAAGAATTTGTTTTCTGGTCAGGAAGTCCTGTGGGCCTGCTTTAGCATGAAAGAAGCCCTAATGAACTGAGCCAAGAGAGTAGGACCTCACATCTCTACAGCAAACAGTAATAGGTGACGCAAAAGAGACCAGTAACTAGGACTCTGGGCTCCTGGGTTATGGGCAGAAGACAAATGGAGTATTACTGAGTATGCAGTAAGCACTCAACAATGCACATTGAAGGAACAGGGGAAGAGAGATCCAGAAGACATAATGAAGAGAGATAATGAAAACATGTTTGGGGTCTCTGGGGCATGAGAACTGAGGGTGTGGGAGAGTATTGAATACGCCCCCTGTCAGACTCATAGCAGGAGAAGGAAGGTAGGGTCTCCTTCTGACCCTCAACCATAGGAGCTCCCCTCTGTTTTGTTTTTGTTTTCAGACGGCTGTATAGGAGCCTTTCCACCCTGAGATCCTTCTGATGTGCCTTAGCATCAGTTCCAAGGAAGCGTCTCTCAGGAGAGTACACACCTTAGGGAGAGACACAGTGCCATATCGGGACACAGTCTGATGGGAGGAGGGAGATCAACAGTCCAAGTCCTGGAGGAGGCTTGAATTTGGTCTGGACACTTGGGTATGGCCAGCAGAGGGGAAACAGTCAGCTAAAAGAGCGTGACTGAAGAGACCCAAATGAGCAGAGGGTTTGGGGAGGTCTGAGATGGCATCTGTGACCAGGCTGATGGGGTTCCAATATACAGTCTGTATTTTCTGTCATAGTCCATTGGTGTTGCTATAAAGGAATCCCTGACTGTGGGTGACATAGAGAAAAGAGGCTTATTTGCCTCACGGTTCTGCAGGCTGTATGAGAAGCATGGCACCAACGTCTGCACTGGTGAGGGCTTCAAAAAGCTTCCACTCGTGGCCGAAGGAGAAGGGGAGCCGGTTTGCACAGATCATATAGCGAGAGAGAGGAAGCTGGAAAGAAGGAATGGAGGAGGTGACAGGATCTTTTCAACAACCAGTTCTTGTGGGAACTAAGAGTGAGAACTCACTGGTTGAGAATGGCACCGAGCTGTTCATGAGGGATCTGTTTCAACCACCCAAACTCCTCCCACCAGGCTCCACCTCCAACATTGGGAATCAAATTTCAACATGAGACTTGGCAGGGTTTAACAACCACATCCAAACCATTGCAATGACCAAAGTGAGTTGTCTGCATTTCCCCCAACAATGACGAGAAGCTTCCTGGAAGACACAGTCTCTCAGATAGTTTATTTGTAGGCGAACGAGCTTTCCTGACATGCAAGTTCTGTTAGAAGGAAGCTGGCAAGCAGGAGGTGGCTGAAGACATGAAGGAGCTCTGAATGAGTGAGCTGGAGAAACAGAAAGGGTCAGCGGTGTGCTGGGAAAGGCTCAGAAGTGAGTCTGCCTAGTGGCTGTGATGGGAAGTTCCAGAGGGTCAGGTATGCGGGAACGCTCAGTGACAGGTTGGGTCCTGGACTCCCAGCAATTCTTCTGATGTGCCAGTATTCTGCAGCTGAAAAGCCAATAGCACTCTAAGAATTTTCTTCTTCCAGAATTATTTAGAAACTGAGATCCTGGATTCAAGTCCAAATTTCACCTTTTAGAGGGTACTCTGAAAATTGTAGCGCGCATACTTATCAGAGCCTAATGTAATTAATATCTTTACTCGCTATCAAAATAACACAAAGACCTCAGAACATTTTAATTCGTATTACCCATCTCCCAAATCATACCCTAATATCATCAAGTATTTTAATTCCTTCTTGTTTGTTAACTTCATGAAAGATTATTGTAAAAAAAAAATTATTGTTGTCTGCTTACACACCCTCAGCCTGAACGCAGTCACACAGCCATGTTAAGCTGCAAGAGAAACTGAGAAAGACTGTCTCTAGCTGGGTAGACGTGTGCTCAGCTGACACTTGAGAGATCTGTTGCTAAAGGTGGAGAATGGGTGTTAGCAGACAACCATAAAGCCGTGACATGATCCAGCAACCCCACTGCTGAGGAGGTAGCCAAAAGAAAAGAAATCAGTGTATCAAAGAAATATCCGCACTCCAACGTTTGTTGCAGCACTGTTTGCAATAGCTAAGATTTGGAAGTGTCTATTAATGGATGAATGAATAAAGAAAGTGTGGTACAGGCCGGGCGCAGTGGCTCACACCTATAATCCCAGCACTTTGGGAGGCCGAAGTGGGTGGATCATAAGGTCAGGAATTCAAGACCAGCCTGGCCAACATGGCAAAATCCCATCTCCACTAAAAATACAAAAATTAGCCCAGTGTGGTGACGGGCGCCTGTAATCCCAGCTACTCGAGAAGCTGAGGTAGGAGAATTGCTTGAACCTGGGAGACGGAGGTTGCAGTGAGCCAAGATTGTGCCATTGCACTCCAGCCTGGGCGACAGAGTGAGACTCCATCTCAAAAAAAAAAAAAAAAAAAGAGCCAGGCACGGTCATGCCTGTAATCCCAGCACTTTGGGAAGCACAGGTGGGCAGATCATGATGTCAGGAGTTCGAGACCAGCCTGGCCAGCATGGTGAAACCCCATCTCCACTAAAAATACAAAAATTAGCCGGGCGTGGTGGCAGGCATCTGTAATCCCAGCTACTCGGGAGGCTGAGGCAGAAGAATTGCTTGAACCTGGGAGGCAGCGGTTGCAGTGAACCCAGATCGAGCCACTGCCCGCACTCCAGCCTGGATGACAGAGCAAGTCTCCATCTCGGAAAAAAAAAAAAAAAAAAGAAAAGAAAAGAAAAGAAAACGTGGTACATATACATAGTAGAGCATCATTCAGCCATAAAGAAAGAATGAGATCCAGTCATTTGCAACAACATCGCTGGACATGGAGATCATTATGTTAAGTGAAAAACCCGGCACAGAAAGACAAACATTGCATGTTCTCATTTATTTGTGGGATCTAAAAATCAAAAACAACTGAACTCATGGACATAGAGTCTAGAAGAATGGTTACCAGAGGCTGGGAAAGGTAGTGGGGAGGACTGGGGGAGGTAGAGATGGTTAATGAATGAATTAATTAAATGAATTAAATTAATTTAAAAAAACAAATGAATTAAAAAGAATGAATAAGACCTACTCTTTGATAGCACAACAGGGTAACTATAGTGAATAATAACTTAATTGTATATATTAAAATAACATAAAGAGTGTAATTGGATTTTTTGTAACTCAAAGGATAAATGCTTGAGGGGATAGATACCCCATTCTCCACGATGTGCTGATTTCACATTGCATACCTGTATCAAAACATCTCATGTACCCCATAAATATATACACCTACTATGTACCACAAAAAGTAAAAATAAAAAAAATTAAAAATAAAGCCAGGACGTACATTTAAACCTACTTACCTTATATTCTGTATTTAATAATTTCAATACCTAAAGTCTTTGAGGATCTGATACTGCTGTCTAGCTTTTTGGTTTTGTTTTCTTCCTTGCTGGTTTTCACTCAGGGTGTCTGTTTTCACTTATGATTTGAGAATCATGACTATAAATTTATTTTTCTTGGAATGTTATCTGTCGAGATCAAGGCTGCAGTGGCACTAGCATAACTCACTGCAGCCTTGACCTTCTGGGCTCAGGCAATCCTACTGCCTCGGCCTCCCAAATTTCTGGAATTACAGATTAAGCTACGATCTTTCACAGAGAATTTGCATGTTTTTTCCAAGCATATGGAGACATTACCATTTGAGGATTATTTTATTATTATATTTTTAATTAAAATATTTTATTAACATTGTTACTGTATATACTTATGGGGTACAATTTAATGTTTTAATACATATATATGCTGTATAATTTGATGATTATTTTAAGCTAAACTATAGGATTGCGGTCTTTTGAATTACCTAGACTGCATGATTTGTGGCTACAAACCATGTAAGTAAGGTATTGTTGGTTGTTGTGGTTACAATTTATTTCTCAAGGGATACTCCCTCTACCCTCCTCTGCACCAAATTTAGAGACAGGCAATTTTGCTTACATTTCCTTAGAGGAGGGGCAGGTTTATTTTTAGTTTACATTCTCACTGAAAGTTACAGATTTATGTGATTCCTCCCCACCCATGACCTTGGGCTGATCCAGCTGAAGCTGTAATACCCGAAGCTTAAGTTCTTTGGGTTTTGCAAAAGTTGGCTTCAGTACTTCCCTTACCTCCTGGGTCCTATTTAGTCTTTAATTTTAGCATTCCATACTTTCATGCCAATTCACTGACTCTTTTAAGAAGATTTTGAAGTCCATAACTTAGCTTTACAGTGTATTTTCAGTCAGGGCACGTAGTCCATTATATAGCAAGAAGTTTAAGTTGTCATTGGATTGTTTTGAGAAATAAATGGTGATGTATTTACAGGCACTAGCATAGTGTTTGGCACTTAATAAGCATGCAATAATAAAGGACAAAGGGAAAATAAAAAAGACAAACATAAATACATAAATACATAGATGCCAGGTGTATTTTGAGATTTTAATTTGTAGCACTGTCCCAGTAAATTTCTTCTAACTTATCACATAGCATTTGAAAGAGGCAAAGAAGTAGGGAGGGAGACTCTTCCCAAAGATGAAGAACTGGAGGGCACTGAGTGAGTCTAACAGGATTTTCTGATCTACTCAGTTTGTAGAGTTTGAAGTTACAAATCCAAATAAAGAAAGTTGTGTAATTACAAATTCTCAGGGGAAATTTTTTACCCACTCCATTATTATAAACTGTGATAATCTTATTCTTCCTCCTACTGGTCAGGTTCCATCCTGAGGAAACGATAGAAAGCCAAAGCCTAAAGAGTTCTGACTTGTGTGTTGAGAGATCAAAGAGAAATTGTTCTGAGCTTGATCATCGTGACCCCTCCTCCCCACAAGAGTTGGAACCATGGTTATGCTCAGGGGATATTTTCACTTGAGCTCACACCCAAAGCTGGTGAGGCTGCAGGTCTCCTCCAGAACCACTCCCTATTTTTCTGACTGTCCCGTTGGCCAAACCCTCTGTGCTCTTTTCTCTGGTTCTTTTCTTGATTTTGATCATGACCATCTCTATGGCCAATCCCTTGGAGACCTCAGAGAAGCCCATCCTGACCCATTTTATGGTCACTACCTTCTCCTCCATGATCCCCCTTCTTCCCCAAGATTTTCTTTTCCATAGCACCTTCCATTATCCAGTCTATGTCTATACTCTCCTTTGCCTTGGCGACCTTCTCTGTGATGCATTTCATGATTATTGCTGTAGCCTCCTCCAAGTCCATAACGCCCACCATGATTCACTCCACAGCCATCTCCATGGCTGTGGCTCAGCTCATGGCCCACTCCATGTCCAAAGCCATGTGTTCCTGTGTGTCCCATCTCAAGTCCCCCTCCATGAATGAGTGCATTTCCCAGGCTGTGGAATGTCCCAGAGCCCAGGACTGAGTCCAGGTATAAACCAAGGTCAAGGCTGTTGTCATGGAGGTTATAAATGCCTCTATTTGTCAGGGTAAAGAAAGATCCTTCTAAAAGAGAAAAATATATATATTAGTAGTTAACTCCTTTTCTTTCTTATCATTAAACCTTGGATTATCAAAATTCATAAATATTCACTTTTCAATATTGTCTATTTTCTCATCAAGTCTTCCTGTGTGTGTGTGTGTGTGGATGATATTTAGGACTCTCTTCCTCTTATTTATTTATTTATTGGAGAAAACAGTCTTCCTAATTAGTATACTTGTACCTTGGTAGGGATCTATGCTGCTCAACTTTCAAGACAAGATAAGTCTGGGCATGGTGGCTCGTGCCTGTAATCCCAAAACTTTTGGAGGCTGAGGTAGGTGGATTGCTTGAGCCCAGGCATTCCAGAGACCAGCCTGGGCAACATGGTGAAACCCCATCTCTACAAAAATAAAAAAAACAAGACAAGGTAAATTTGCATCCTGTACCTGGGAACAGAGTCAGCTAAGAGTAGGGAATCTTTTATTGTGTAAATCAACCAAAAAGGTTGCATGTCTATGAGGTCAGGTAAAAATAAATAAAAGTTCATAAGGCCAGGTACAGTGGCTCATGCCAGTAATCCTAGTACTTTGGGAGGCCAAAGCGAGAGGATCACTTGAACCCAGCTCTATCTCTGGGTAGACAGAAGCTGCAGTGAGCCAAGACGGCACCACTGGACTCCAGCCTGGGTGACAGAGTGAGACCCCATCCAAAAATTAAAATGAAAAATTTTTTTTAAAGTTCATAAAATAGAAGCTAGAATAGTGCTTACCTTTGATGGAGTGGGTATTATCTGGGAAGGGCCACAAAATAAACTACTCAGATGGTAGAAATATTCTACATTTTAAGTTGGGTAATGGTTGTACAAGTGTTAACACATTTTGAAATTAATCAAGCTGTACAAATAATATTTGTGTACTTTTGTAAATTATAGTTCAAAATTTTTTCATCTGTGAACAGTATTTATTTTTTTCAATTAATATTGTTCTTTTTATTTTTTTTTTATTTCTTGAGACAGAGTCTTGCTCTGCTACCCAGGCTGGAGTGCAGTAGCACGATCTCGGCTCACTGCAACCTCTGCCTCCCAGGTTCAAGCAATTCTCCTGCCTCATCCTCCAGAATAGCTGGGATTACATGCATAAGCCACCATACCCGACTAATTTTTGTATTTTTAGTAGAGACAGGGTTTCCCCATGTTGGCCAGGCTGGTCTTGAACTCCTTACCTCAGATGATCCATCCGCCTCAGCCTCCCAAAGTGTTGAGGTTACAGAACTGCGCCCGGCTGTTCTTTTTATTTTTAAGTGTAATTTAACTTTTAACCTTTCTCCCAACTGTATTAAGTTGATACGTGAAACATATATTTGGACTTCTGCACATTTCCTGGCATGCAGCTCCTAAAATCCTTAGGTACTGAAAAGTGATTTTTTTTTTTGTATGCGAATGAGTCAACTGTTGGCTACAGGATGGGGGCTAATCACCGGAAAGACCAAAGCACCACCCCTTAACCCTTAACCTCCAGGGAGGAGAGGGGACTGAAGGTTAAGTTGATTACCAGTGGCCATGGTTTAATCAGGTATACCTACATAATGAAGCCTCTGTAAAAACCCCAAAGGCCAGGGCTCAGAAAACATATGGAGGTTCCTGGAGGATGGAGTGCTGGGGAGGGCATGGAAGCTCCCTGCTCCTTCTCCCTCCACGCCTCTTCACCTGTATCCTTTGTAATATCCTTTGTAATAAACCAGTAAAGGTGTTTCCCTGAGTTCAGTCAGCCACTCCTGCAAATTAATCGAAACCAAACAGGAGTAGCCAACTCCAACTTGCTCCAGTTGGTCAGAAGTTCCAGAGGCCTGGACTTGGCAGCCTGTGGGAAGGAGCGGTTGGTGTTGAGGGACTGCGCGCTTAGTCTGTGGATCTGATGCTATCTCCAGGTAGGCAGTGCCAGCACTGAATCGGAGGACACCGAGCTGGTGTCTGCTGCAGAACTGATTGCTTGCTTAGTGTGGGAAGAACTTCCCCTCTTAATTTGGTCACCAGAAGTGTTTTGTGTTGGTGGTGGTGTGAGAGCAGAGGAAACACAGTTTGTGTTTTTCCCACTTTCAAAGCTGGTGAATAAATATTGCATATACTTATGGTGTACAATGTGATGTTTTGATATATGTATACATTTTGAAATTATTAAATCAAATTAACATATCTATTGCCTTGCATACTTATCATTTTTTATTGGTAAGAATTACACCTCAATTTTTAAAGATAAAGAAAAATAAGAGACAGGCCATAAAGAGCTAAAGGTTGGAGAACTATCTAAAAAACACTGTGGGCCAGGTGCGGTGGTTCACGCCTGTAATCCCAGCACTTTGGGAGGCCGATGTGGACAGATGATGAGGTCAGGAGTTCGAGAGCAGCCTGGCCAACATGGTGACACCCCATCTCTACTAAAAATACAAAAAATTAGCCGGGCATGGTGGCACATGCCTGTAATCCCAGCTACTCAGGAGGCTGAGGCAGGAGAATTGCTTGAACCCGGGAGGTGGAGGTTGCAGTGAGCCGAGATTGTGCCATTGCACTCCAGCCTGGGCAACAGGGTGAGGCTTCGGCTCAAAAAAACAAACAAACACTCTGGCTAAGAACACAGGCTCTGCTGTCAAGCGGACCAGAATTAGAGCCTAGCTCTGCGTGGCCTTGTCCTGTGGTCTTCAGCAAGTTACTTATGTCTCTGCTTCCAGTTTTCTAGTCTATAAAATGGGATAATAGGAGTACGCATCCCCAAGGGTGGTTGAGCAGAGCAAAGGAGAGATGATGCCCTCTAAGCACTCTGGGCCCTGGACCTCATACCTAGTAGATAGCTAATAAAATGCTAGTTAACTAATATTACATCTTTATCTTAAACATTTAGGGGGTTGCTCATGGCTGGTGAGTCACATATTGTTCTTCCCTTAGGGAGGGGTCAGAGACTCTGAAATAAGAAACTCAGGTAAGTTGATTGTAAATTATGTTAACTGTTTGTGGCTTGTGTGAATTTCTCATTTATGTATTGTGTACTCACTCTGGCTCCTCCTACAAATTTACAAGACTGCATACAGGAATACATAAAGCCAAAATGGGAAAATATAAATGTTCTATTTCTTAAAATAGAACAAGAGAAATACATTTGAATAGAAGATTAAGACCAGGATGGACAATAGAACACAGTCTGCTGCTGGCCAGTGGCTGTCACATTGGCACCAAGAACTGCGGAGGGCTGGGGCCTCTGGAACGTCAAACCCTCCCCTACACCAGGGGGAGCGTTTCTACAGCCTCCATTCTCCAGAAGGGCATTTCTTTGTCAACTTCCCTTAGTGTTTCATGAAGTTTTGAAATCTCTAGCCTATTTGAGTTGTGCTAAGAGGTACCTAGAAAAGTGAATTTGTTTTCACTTGGGTAAAATCATAAAGGCATGAGGTGGGACATGCCCCACTCTCACCCTGGAAGGAGCTTATGATTTTGTCTGTCTTGAAAGTGAAAAACCTGTTGAGGACCTAAATGTTCATCACTTTCCAAAGATGTTTTTTCTAGTGTTACATTCCCAGCTATTTTATAAGACACATTTTCCATCATATTCTCAATGCTCTCCTATTCATACCCAGACACTTTCCTCTCACTTGGGGCCCCCTTCCTCTTTTTTTTTTTGAGATGGAGTTTCACTCTTATAGCCCAGGCTGGAGTGCAGTGGCGCGATCTCGGCTCACTGCAACCTCTGTCTCCCGGGTTCAAGAAGTTCTCCTGCCTCAGCCTCCCGAGTAGTTGGGATTACAGGTGCCTACCACCACACCGGCTAATTTTTGTATTTTTAGTAGAGATGGAGTTTCACCATTTTGGTCAGGCTTCTCTCGAACTCCTGACCTCAGGTGATCCTCCTGCCTTGGCTTCCCAAAGTGCTGGGATTACAGGTGTGAGCCACCACGCCCGGCCTCTTCTTCTTCTTCTTCTTCTTTTTTTCTTCCTGCTATATCTATCGTTTATATTTTCTGTCTTTCTCCTTCTCCCTGGTCTTTATACTACACTATGTGAGACAGTAAAAATCAGACTGCGAAAGCAGCAGTCGGCCGCTGTCCATCAGGAGGTAGATGCATAACAGCATAGGTGGCCAGCTGTGAGGGGCACTGAGAGGAATATTTTTCCCCAGGGCGCACTGCAGCTGTGAAGTATCACAGCCCTTACTCACTTCCAGTGACCTACTCACTTGCAGTGATTTAGCCAATGAAAAATTTCATTCTCTAAAATCGCAGACTATTACAAATTTGCTGTTTGATTCTAAATCAGTGAGAAGGAAATATCCCATTCTTGTCTGGAAACTCTAAGTGACTTTGACACAGAGAAGCAGCCTCCAATTCCAACTGGGGTACAGATAAGGGGTTTCTCTGAATACAACATTCCACGTTCATTTTAACTGTAGTTTCCAAGGAAACAATCTATTTCACAGTTTCAAGCTGCCGGTGACCCCTTTACAAACAGCCCTGCTTTCTTTTGAGCCTTTTAAAATTCTTTCATTTAAATTTCACCAAAAATCCACACTTTCCTCCAATACTATAATGACATTTCCCCCAATACTATAATGACATTTCCCCCAATACTGTAATGACATTTCCGTTGTTTGGTGAGAAGCTCCTCAGCTCCCTGGTATACAGCCTCCCATTTTGCAACTAACTGATAAATCTGACTTCATGGGACTATACATTTGCTCCTGCACTCTTGGTCGATTGGACTAGGGTACAAGTGACTCTCCAGACCCCTCTCCATGCTAATAGTCTAGTGGCCCTTCTTCCGTCAATTCTAATCCTCCTCGTGATCTATCTTCTCAGGAAAGCTCTGCCCATTTCCATGCTCAGTCACTCACAGGCAAAACCTCAGTCCTACTGACAATCCAACACCAACCATGACTACAGCCAGGGAAATGAGCATGATGGCCTGGGGCTGTAAATGTCCACTCAGTTTGATCACATGTTTGGATGTGTGGCTCACGCTAACTGTATTTGTGCCTGTGGACATTGGGCCTGTTTACTGGGAGGTGTTGCTGGTTGGCTCACGGGTGGATCCTGTAGTGGTCCTGAAGCTGGGGGCTGAGGTGGTAGATGATGCTCCCATAGTGGATGTACCCAGGTCAGAGGTGTTTGAGACTATTCCCGTCACAGGATGGCTGCAGCAGAGGCCATGGAGTCCATTCCAGGGGCCATGGTGACAGAGCTAGGGGCGGTAGGACTGGTTCCAGGGGTCACACAACATGATGCATTCATAGCAGAGATAATTAAAGGGGAGTGGGAGCGCTTAGAGCAGAGCGGGGTGAATCTAACATGTCTATGGTGAGAGTAGCTCAGGAGAGGGGTGGTGGGGGAGGAGAGATGGTAGAAAGCCATTCCTCTGTGGCCGTGTCCTCACAATAGAGGTGGGTGTCGTACAGAGGAGGAGGTAGAATGTGTCACCTGGTGGAGTTGGTGATGGAGGAGGCAGAAGGTTGAGGAAACGTGACCGTGATGGGTATGGAAGTGGAAGATCTATTTGACTTCGGAAGTGGCCACCCAAATAGAAGAGGGCGGGCTTGTATACAAAGTGGCAGGCCCTGCTTCTTTTGTGACTGTGATCACTGGGTGTAAGGAGGGAGCTGGAGGAGGAGATGACAGAATTGGATTCATTCATGGGCATGCCAGTGGCCGTGGCTGGGACGGAGGTGACATCATCTACCACACTGTGGTGGTCAGCAAAGGTGGGGTGAGTGTGCTTGGGCAGATGTGGGAGGACCTGACCCAAGTGGAGAAGGCTGCTCACAGGGACAGGAGAGGGTGGGCTCAGACAGGTGCGAGTGAGAATCAACACAGCAGAGGCAGTGGTGGTGGCTTTGATAGCAATGGGTGTGCCTAGGTCAGAAGTGGTGAAAATAGGATCCCAAACAGCACCAGTCACCAGAATAGAGGTGAGGGTGCTCAGAACGAAGAGGATAGAATCAGATGCAACCGGCTTGCTGATGGAAAGTGCCAGAGAATGAACATAATTGTTTGGTCTTAGACTGGAGCAAGGTGATATGATTTGGATTTGTGTCCCTGCCCAAATCTCATGTCAAATTGTAATCTCCAATGTTGGAAGAGGGGTGTATTAGTCAGGGTTCTCTACAGCGACAGAACTGATGGAATATATATAAAGCGGAGTTTATTAAATATTAACTCACATGATCACAAGGCCCCACAATAGGCCGTCTGCAGGCTGAGGAGAAAGGAGAGCCAGTCCGAGTTCCAAAACTGAGGAAGCATCCAGCACGGGAGGAAGATGTAGGCTGGGAGGCTGGGCCAGTCTCTCTTTTCACATTTTTCTGCCTGCTTAAATTCTAGCCACTCTGGCAGCTGATTAGATTGTGCCACCCAGATTAAGGGTGGGTCTGCCTTTCTGAGGCCACTGACTCAAATGTTCATCTCCTTTGGTAACACCCTCGCAGACACACCCACGATCAATACTTTGTGTCCTTCAGTCCAATCAGGTTGACACTCAGTATTAACCATCATAAGTCCACCCCTTGTCAACTTGAACCCATGCGCATCTCCTGAGATTATACATAATCTTCAAATAAAGACAATAATAAGGTCATAATTATGCCCAACATAATACAACTATCCTTCATACAACCGGAAACGCACCAATCCCCAGCCCATATGCTATTACGCAAAGTTAATAATACTTAAATGCTGATGTGAAGTCAATAAATCTTACATCACATAATAAAGGAGAAAGGAAATAAAATGAAGATATTTTCTTAGTACAAGTGTATACATGTACAAACGTGTTTTTAACAAAAGAAGGAGGAAATACTCATGACAATTACAGTGCTCTTTCTGCAGCTGGTCACGCAGTCATAGTTGGTATTGATGGCTACCTTCTTCTGCTACCCATTCTGTATTCCCTTTCCCTTTAGCAAGCATCTCAGCAGGTCATGGTTTTTTCCTGGTGGAGTGACCCAAACTTCCATTTCTGAAGGGTCTGGGTCATTTGTAGTCCTGCCTGGATTGGGCTGTTGTAGTTTCCCACTGACCTTAATCACAGGGCATGGTAATGCTAAGAGACGCCCTAATGGATCTCAAGTATTCCATGCATACTTTTCCTTACCTCCGTTGTGGAGTAGTAGACTGACTTCATCAGGATAGTCTAGGTCAGTCACAGCAGCCAACACTGTAACTCCCTTCTAAGCCTGTTAACGTAAAGGTAGAAGGAGCCCAAAGTGTCCAGGTGGCAATTTTAACTTCCAGTTTAATGGCATTGTTGTTGTGTCTCCTGGTGGCAGCGTTCCTCCCTCTGGAGCTAAGACCTCTAGGCCAGCAGAATGTAATGTCACAGGAACAGGAAGCAAAAATTTTGCTAGTGGATCACTAGGGGTGATGGTGAGTGGTGCCACTTCCACTTCCATCCCTTGCTTCCTGGACCCAGGAATGCTGGCTATGGGAGAAACAGTACCATACAATGGACACTGATTCAGAGCATACACAGCCTTCTAGAGAATTTTGCCCCAGCCCTGCAAAGTATTGTCACCTAGTTGATGTCGTAATTGTGACTTCAAAAGGCCATTCCACCGTTCTATCAATCCAGCTGCTTTAGGATAATGGGGAACATAAGACCAGTAAATTCCATGAGCATGAGCCCACTGCCACCCTTCTTTAGCTGTAAAGTGAATGCCTTGGCCAGAGGTAATGCTGTGTGGAACCATGATGGTGGATAAGGCATTCTGTGACTTCACGATGGTAGTCTTGGCAGAAGCATTGCATGCAGGATAGGCAAACCCATATCAGGAGTAAGTGTCTATTCCAGTGAGGACAAACCTCTGCCCTTTGCATGATGAAAGAAGTCCAGCCAGTAATCCAGTAATCAGCTGGCTGATCATCCTGAGGAATGGTGCTATACTGAGGGCTCAGTGTTGGTCTCTGCTGCTGGCAAATTGGGCATTCAGCAGTGGCCATAGCCAGGTCAGCCTTGGTGAATGGAAGTCCATGTTGCTGAGCCCATTCATAACCTCCATCCCTGACACCACGGCCACTTTGCTCATGGGCCCATTGGGTGATGACAGGGTTGGCTGGGGAAAGAGGCTGAATGGTATCCACAGAACGGGTCATCGTATCCACTTGATTATTAAAATCCTCCTCTGCTGAGGTCATCTGTTGGTGAGCACTCACATGAGATACAAATATCTTCACAGTTTTTGACCACTCAGAGAGGTCCATCCACATAACTCTTTCCCACATTTCTTTGTCACCAATTTTCCAATCGTGCTTCTTCCAAGTCCCTGACCATCCAGCCAAACCCCCTACTGATTATGCATCAGTAAATAATCACACATCTGACCGTTCTCCTTCCATGCAAAGTGCAGAACCAAGTGCACTGCTTGAAGTTCTGCCCACTGAGAATATTTCCCTCCACCGCTGTCCTTCAGGGATGTCCTAGAGAGGGGCT
Source organism: Homo sapiens (assembly GCF_000001405.40). NCBI lineage: Eukaryota > Metazoa > Chordata > Mammalia > Primates > Hominidae > Homo > Homo sapiens. The sequence goes on along the minus strand of NT_167247.2, from coordinate 2,313,630 downwards.
GTAGTGCTGCAACTGTTCACTTTCGGTTAGTGCTCCATATTGTGCAGAACCATCTGTGAACCAGGCCCTAGTCTTCTCTTCCTCTGTCAACTGATCATAGGGAACTCCCCATGAGGTCATCGGTACAAGCTGGGGAAGAGAAAGCAGGGTGGCAGGAGTGGAGACCATGGGCATTTGAGCCACTTCCTCATGTAACTTACTTGTGCCTTCAGGAACTGCTTGAGCCCGATCATGTGTATATCACTTATATTTGATGATGGAATGCTGCCGCACACCGACCCATTTTATAGCTAGATGGATCAGAAAGCACCCAGTTCATGATAGGTAGTTCAGGTCACATGGTGACTTGATGACTGATAGTCAAATGTTCAGTTTCCACCAAAGCCCAGTAATAGGCCAAGAGCTGTCTCTCAAAAGGAGAGTAGTTATCTGCAGAAGATGGCAGGGACTTGTTCCAAAATCCTAGAGGCCTCTGCTGTGATTCACTTATGTGGGCCTGCCGAAGGCTCCAAACAGCATCCCTATCTGCCACTGACACCTCAAGCACCATTGGATCTGCTGGGTCATATGGCCCAAGTGGCAGAGCAGCTTGCATAGCAGCCTGGACGTATTGCAGAGCCTTCTCCTGTTCTGGATCCCACTCAAAACTGTCAGCCTTTCGGGTGACTCAATAAATGAGCTGGAGTAACACACTCAAATGTGGAATGTGTTGCTTCCAAAATCCAAGTAAGCCCACTAGGCGTTGTGCTTCTTTCTTGGTTGTAGGAGGGGCCAAATGTAGCAACTTCTTCACCTTAGAAGGGATATCTTGACAGGCCCCACACCACTGGACCCCTAGAAATTTTACTGAGGTAGAAGCTCCCTGAATTTTAGTCAGATTTATTTCCCATCCTCTGGCACACAAATATCTCACCAATAAGTCCAGTGTGTTTGCTACTTCTTGCTCACTGGACCCAATCAGCATAATATCATCAATGTAATGGACCAGTATGATATCTTGCAGAAGCAAAAAGTGATCAAGCTCTCTCTGAATAAGATTATGACACAAAGCCGGAGAGTTGATATACCCCTGAGACAGGACAGTAAAGCTGTATTGCTGGCCTTGCCAGCGGAAGGCAAATTACTTCTGGTGGGCCTATGGACAGGAATGGAGAAAAAGGCATTTGCCAAGTCAATGGCTGCATACTAGGTACCAGGAGATGAGTTAATTTGCTCAAGCAATGAAACAACATCGGGTACAGCAACTGTAATTGGAATCACCACTTGGTTAGGCTTACGATAATCCACTGTCCTTCTCCAAGATTCATCTGTCTTCTGCACAGGCCAAATGGGAGAACTGAATGGGGATATGGTGGGAATCACCACCCCTGTGTCTTTCAAGTCCTTGATGGTGGCACTAATCTCCGCAGTCCCTCCTGGGATGTGATTTTTTTTTTTATTTACTATTTTTCTAGGTAGAGGCAGCTCTAATGGCTTCCATTCAGCCTTTTCCACCATAGTAACCCTCACCCTACCAGTCATGGAGCCAATGCAGGGGTTCTGCCAGCTGCTAAGTATATGCCAATTATGCATTCTGGCACTGAGGAAATGATCACAGGATGAGTCCAGGGACCCACGGGACCCACTATAAGTCAGACCTGGGCTAAAACTCCATTAATTACCTGACTTCTATAAACGCCTACTTTTTTTTTTTTTTTTTTTTTTTTGAGACGGAGTCTCACTCTGTTGCTCAGGCTGGAGTGCAGTGGCAGATCTTGGCTCACCACAACCTCCACTTCCCAGGTTCAAGCTATTCTCCTGCCTCAGCCTCCCAAGTAGCTGGGACTACAGGCGTGCACCACCATACGTGGCTAATTTTTGTATTTTTAGTAGAGAGGGTTTCACTATTTTGGCCAGGCTGGTCTCGAACTCCTGACCTCGTGATCCACCTGCCTTGGCCTTCCAAAATGCTGGGATTACAGGCATGAACCACCACTCCCGGACTCATAAGCCCATACTTTAACTGGAGGGCCACAATGACATTTTGGGTCTCCTGGAATCAACGCCAGCTCAGAGCCAGTGTCCAGTAGTCCCCAAAATGTCTAATCATTTCCCTTTCCCCAATACACAGTTACCCTGGTAAAAGGCCAGAGGTCTTGGGGAAGGATGGGAGAAAGATTCACTGCACAAATTGTTGGTAATGTAGTGGGGTCCTTCCTCAAGGGGACCCGGCCTCCCGTTCATTCAAGGGGATCTGGGTCTGTGAACTGGCTCAAGTCTGGAAATTGGTTGAGGGGCCGTGATTCTGTTTTTATAATTCAAATTAGTCTTTTGTCCATTCAGCCTAGAAGTTCTCTGCTTGTATAAATTAAATAGGAATGCAATAGGCTTCCTATCAATTTCACTTCTAGGAACACTGTGATTAATTAGCCAATGCCAGAGCTCTGCATGAGTTGGACTATTCTGATTGCCACTTTGCCTCTGCTGTCCATTATGGTACCTACACCCACATTGCCTTCGATGTTTGAGTGCTACCACTTGGCCCCTGCCACCTCTGGATCCAATTATTCCCATTGTATTTAAATTTTGCAGTTGACTGACGGCGGTTCCCACTGTTAGATCTGACATACAGAGAAGAGCAATTATAGGGCTCTTCAGATATGCAGGTGCTGCCCTCACAAATGTATTTTGCAAAGCATCATCAAGGGTATATCTTCTGGACCCTCCCAGCTGGGATGAGTAGGTCTAAATTGACTAATCCACTCCACCATCCCAATCTCCCTAAGCCTTTGGATCCCTTCATTTACATTAAACCAAGGGAGATCAGCTTGCTCACAGTGGGCCATCTTTTAATCCATATTTTAGCTAACTAAGCAAATAAACTATTAGAACCCTTTTTAACTCCCCAAGCTGCAACATTAAATGCAGAGTCCCTATTTAGTGGGGCCAAATCAATAAATTCAGCCTGACCTAACTCTATGTTCCTTCCACCATTATCCCACACCCTTCATATCCATTCTAATGCCTGTTCTCCAGATTTCTGTTTATATAAATTAGAAAATTCAAGCAGTTCTTTTCGAGTGTAGTACATCTCCTCATGGGTCACACTCTCAACCTCGCCTCTAGGGGCCCTCCAGGAAATGATACCTAACAGTGTACAGGCTTGACTTGAGACAGGGCAGAGATGATAGAAACAGGTGAAGAGCTAGTGGTTGCCATTGGAATTAAAATGTGTGTGATCAGAGAAGACATGGGGGTTAGTACCTGACACAACTGTTTTGGTGATGGTCTGAGTAGAAATGTCAGTGACCTTGTTGGGCACGAAAGTGGCAGAGACAGTGGTGGAGGTTGCAGTGGCCCCAGAGGCTGTGGTAGAGGCCAAGAAGGGCGATGAGGCCAAAGCGAAGGCTGTGGAGGTCACAGATGCTGCTGTGGATGGCATGGTGGCCTCAGAGCCTGTGGTGGAAGCCATGCTGCTTCCAGACCCTGAAGTGACCTCAGAGGCTGTGCTCACAGCCATGTTGCTCGTGGATATTGCAGTGGAGGCTGTGGTGGTCTCAGAGTCTGTGGAGGAGGCGGTTGTGGGCATAGATACTATTATGGAGGCACTGGGGGTCTCAGAATCTGTGAGGGAAGCCGTGGAGGTTTCAGTGGCTGTAGTGGTCTCAGATCTTGTAGTGGAGGCTGTGGTGGTCTCAGAGCCCATCATGGATAAAAATCCTGCAGTGTTCTCAGAGGTTATTTTGGAGGTTGTTGTGGGCACAGATACTATTGTGGAGGTAGTGGGGGTCTCAGAGGTTGATGTGGCCTCAAAGGCCATAGTGGAGGCTAGGATGTGGTGGACACAAATATTTTGAAAGAGGATGTGGTGGACTCAGAGGCTGTGGAGAAGTCCTCAGTAGTTTCAGAGGCTGAGGTGGGAGCTACAGTAGGCACAGAGGTTATCATCCAGGCTGTGGGGATCTCGGAATCTTTGCTAGAGGCCAATGTAGTCACAGACTGCAGTGGTTCCTGAGGTTATGATGGAAGCCAGAGTGATCTCAGAGCCTGTGGTGGTTTCAGGCGCTTTGATAAAGACTGCAGTAGGCACAGATACTATCTTGGAGAGAGTGGTGCTCTTGGAGGCTATGGTAGAGTCCATGGTGGGCACAGACTTGGCCACGGAGTCTATAGTATTCTGATAGAGTGTGGTGGAGGCTGTGGTGGACACAGACGCTGTAGTGGTCTTAGCAGGCATTACGGTGGCTGTGGAGAACCCAGACTGTGTGGTTGTCACAGGAGCTTTGGTGGAGACCACAGCAGTCTCAGAACCTGTGGTCATGGCTGTGGTCATGGCTGTAGTCACTTCAGTGGCAGAGGTGGAAGCTCTGGTGGTCTCAGAGCCTGTGCTGCTTTCAGAGGCTGTAGCGAAGACTGTGGTGGGCACAGATGATACTGTGTGGTGTCCGGTGTTCTCAGAGCCTGTGGTAGAGGTTGTGGTGGGCACAGATGCTGTGGTGGTCTCAGCAGGTGTTGGAGGGGCTGTAGAGGGCGCAGACTCTACAGTTGTCCCAGAGGCTTTTGTGGAGATTGCAGTGGTCGCAGAGTCTGTGGTGGAGGCTGTGGGGATCTCAGAGCCTGCGGTGATTTTAGAGGTTGTGGTGAAGACTGTGGTGGGCAGAGATGTTATCGTAGAGGTCGTGGTGGTCTTGGAAGCTGTGGTCATGGTTTTAGAGGCTGTGTTGGGAGCTGTGGAAGGTGTAGATGTTATCACAGAGAGTGTGTTGTTCTTGGGGACTGTGGCGGACACAGATGCTGTGGTGGTGTCAGTAGGTGTTTTGGTGGCTGTGTGGGGCACAGACTCTGCAGCTATCACAGAGGTTTGAGTGGAGACTGTGGTGTCCTCGGAGGCTGTGATGGCAGCAATGGTAGTTTCAGACATGGTGGCCTCACAGGCTGTTGTGTTCTTAGAGCCTGAGGTGGAAGCTGTGGTGGGCACAGATGTTACTGTGGAAGATGTGGTGGTGTTAGAGACCGTGGTGAAGGCCAGGGTGGACTCAAGGGCCAGGATAGAGGCTGTCACTGGCTCAGACACTGCAGTGGAGAACCTGATGGTCTCATAAGCTGTGGAGGAGACTGGGATGGCTGCAGAGCTCATGGTGATCTCAGAGGCTGTGCTGGAGGCTGTGCTGGAGGCTGTGGCTGACACAGACATTGTAGAGGACGTGATGATCTCAGAGGCCGTGCTGCTCTCAGAGCCGGTGGTTGAGGCCACAGTGGCACAGATGCTGTGGTGGAGGGTGTGGTAACCTCAGAGGCTGCAACAATAGTTGTGGTGGCTTCTGAGCCTATGGAGGTCTCAGAGTCCATGGTGGAGATGGCGATGATCTCAGAGGTTGAGGTACTCTCAGAGCCTGTGGTTGAGGCCATTGTGGACACAGACTCCACCATGGTCTCAAAGGCTACAGTGGGCCCTGGGGGCATAGTCCTTCCTGAAAAATATCAATTTTTAGTCAAATACGACACCTACTTTACATTTTTGATATTTAATTAGGAGCATCGTGCATATGTCTTTCTTGTTTCCTTTACATCAGCAGAACTGCTGGTGTCGTTACCTTTTATTTGGAATCATGTATTTCAGAGGCTCAGCATTTGCAGTTTCCTCCGCAGCTAAGGGCCCGGTTGCTGATTCAGCTGTGCTTCTGTAGTGCATGAGTCATTTGATCGATCTTCTTGGCACCTTGTCCTTTCTGCCATAATGTTTTTTGGAACTGTACTTGCCTAGGTGAAATAAAATCTAACCTATGTTAAGGAGGCTCCACATTATCTCTGTGTGTGTTATAACACTAAGGATAGTTGGGTCTCATCAGATTAGGGGAAAGTGTGTTGTTTGAAAACCTCATCCAGGGCCAGGCACAGTGGCTCACGCCTGTAATCCCAACACTTTGGGAGGCCAAGGCGGGCAGATCACCTGAGGTTGGGAGTTCGAGACCAGCCTGACCAACATGGAGAAACCCCGTCTCTACTAAAAATACAAAATTAGCCAGGTGTGGTGGTGCATGCCTATAATCCCAGCTACTCAGGATGCTGAGGGAAGAGAATTGCGTGAACCCAGGAGGCAGAGGTTGCAGTGAGCCGAGATCGTGCCATTGCACTCCAGCCTGGGCAACAAGAGCAAAACTCTGTCTCAAAAAAAAAAAAAAAGAAAGAAAGAAAGAAAACTTCATCCAGGTCATCTGGACTGATCAGAAGAATCCCCTTGTCTGGGTGGAAGTGACAAGGAGGTCATAGGAGGGCAGCTTGAGCAGAGACACTCTGGTGCAAGTCCCCCATCACTCTTTGGGACGTTCAGCACACGATCCCTGCCTGAAGGGAGCCTGCAGGTTCTCATCCACCATCTGAGAGCACCGGGGTGTAAAATTCACAGGAGGCCAGCTTTTTTCCAGCCTCTTCAGGTGGTGAAAGTTGATGAGTTAGGCAGTTTGTAAAGAGACACAAGGAGATACTAGGGGGAAAAGTCCTTGGGAAGATTTCTTCCCCTCCCCTCCTTTCCCCTCCCCTCCCCTCCCCCCTCCCTCTCTCTCTCTCTCTCTCTCTTTCCTTCTTTCTTTCTTTCTCTCTCTTTCTTTTTCTTTCTTTCTCTTCCTTCCTTTCTTCTTTAATTCCTTCCTCCCTTCTTTACTTCCTTCCTTCCTTCTTCCTCCCTCCCTCCCTTCCTTCCTTCTTTCCCTCCTTCCTTCCTGTCTTTCTTACTTTCATTTATTTACTCTTCTAGTATAACATACTAGATTAAGTGGTAGCACTGGGAATGGATTAGAGAAGAATCTGGGGGATTAGTCTGGGTTTCTCTCTGATATACACTCTCTGCATCCAGGCCTTCTCATTCATTTATTCAAACATATTCCTTAAGAACCTTCTGTGGGCCACATGATGTGCCAGGCATGGGATACAGTGATTGAAAAGTTGATACAGAGCTTATATTCAAATAAGGGAGAGAGACCATGAATAAGTAAATGGATGATGTCCGAAATGAAAAACCTATGCATAGCTGACTGGGACTCTTTCAGGGGCCAAAAGGAAAAGTCCCTCCTGTCCTCCATGCAGGACCATGTGCAGGACCAAAAAAGAAATGAGAGGCCCAAAGCAAAGAAATACCTGCAGACTGGTTTTTCAAAATGGAAGCCGTACTGTGACAGTGCCCTTCTGAATATGGAAAAGTAGCGCTTCTGAGCAAATTGCCACAATGTTTTCTTGTTTTTGTTTTGTTTTGTTTTGTTTTTTTAAATGGAGTTTCACTCTTTTTGCCCAGGCTGGAGTGCAGTGGTGTGATCTCGGCTCACTGCAACCTCCGCCTCCTGGGTTTGAGTGATTCTCCTGCCTCAGCCTCCTGAGTAGCTGGGACTACAGGCACACGTCACCACGCCCGGCTAACTTTTATATTTTTAGTAGAGATGGTTTCACCATGTTAGCCATGAACTCCTGACCTCAAGTGATCCGCCCACCTCAGTCTCCCGAAGTGCTGGGATTACAAGCGTAAGCCACCGCGCCCAACCTAGTTGACACAATGTTGAAGGAAATGCAGAAATCCCAGCCTTTGATGGATCTAAAAAACAGCAGCACTGACACAGCAACCTCAGAGGCATTGGAGCAAGCTGGAAAGCTCAGAGAAAATGTAGACCCAGAAAAGGCTGTACGGTTATACCAACAAACAGCAATGCATTTAAAAATGTGGAATGCCTCAACAGGCAGCTGAACAGTTAGGAAAAGCCTCAGGACTGCTAGTATAAGGATGCAGGATTGATGGGACAGCACTCTCTATTTATAAAGAAAAATATTTATAAGGAAACAGAGTTATCCAACTATAAGAAAATAGTCGCTCAAGTATTAGTTCCTCTACATAGCAACGACTGTGCAGCTGGGAAAGCTGTGTCAGGAGAGCTCCAGCACAGCAGGAGTCCGTGCAAGTGGTGGCTGAGCTGTGCTAGAACAGCTTCCAGAAGGGTTTGCCCAGCAAGACCAAGCTACCCATCAGAGGTCAGCAACTCTCCACTTTTCAAGTACACAGGCAACGATTATGCTAAACCCAGCCTGAGTTTAGTAGTTCCGGGACAGAGAATCAAGAAGAAATTACCAGGGATGGTTGCACAACCACATGAATGTACTTAATGATACTAAACTTTACTCTTATAAATGGCTAAAATGATGTATTGTAAGTTATGTATATTTTATCATGGTTAAGAAAATAAGAAGGCGGAGGAGAAAGCAGAGAGGGAGAGAGAAGAGGAAGAGGAGGAAGAATTAGAAGAAAAAGGAGGAGGAGAAGAGGAGGAGGAAGAAGGGAAAATCAGCAGCTACCCTGGCCAAGCCTGGTGGCATCATCTTTGTAGCTGCTGCTCAGGAAGACAAATATTTGGGATTGTGCAAGTACTTTGCTATGCAAAAAGGAAAGGAAAAATTCTGACACGGCATTTCATGGACTTGGAGCTTGTTTAAGAGTACTCCACACTTCATTGCATCCATGGTTTTGAATGCTAATAAAGCCTCTAAGGCTGGGCATGGTGGCTCATGCCTATAATCCCAGAACTTTGGGAGGCCGAGGTCGGTGGATCACCTGAGGTCAGGAGTTCAAGATCAGCCTGGCCAACATGGTGAAACCCCGTCTCTACTAAAAATAAAAAAAATTAGCCAGGTGTGGTGGTGCATGCCTGTAATCCCAGCTACTCGGGAGGCTGAGGCAGAAGAATTGCCTGAACCTGGGAGGCAGAGGTTGCAGTGAGCCAAGATCGCACCACTGCACTCCAGCCTGGGCAACAGAACAAGACTCCGTCTCAAAAAAATAAAAAATAAAAAATAAGACTCTAATTTTTAGTTATCAATTCCCCAAATAACCTATCTGTGTCTGCTACCTGGAAAGCATTTTTTTTTTCTTTCCATAAGAGCTTTCTAAAACATAAGCAGGAGTTAACAGTAAATGCACTGTCATATTTTCATACAGTTTGTTTTAAAACTTATGAGCCAAATTCTAGATAAATTATGTTTTAAACAACAGAAACAATAGATATGGATATTTTCTCTCGAGTCATGTAACTTAGAGAATTTCCTTTGCATTTTATTTTATGATTACTGCTAAAATGAAGTTTACTGATTTTTAAAAATTAGAATTAAAAAATATTTTTAGTTTTGTTTTGAAAAGAAAATTTATCCCTCCATGATATTGGATACTGTCTTAATCACCTTGGACTGCTATAGCAAATACCACAAACTGGGTGGCTTAAACAATGGTAATTTGTCTTCTCACAGTTCTGAAGGCTGGGAAGTCCAAGGTTAAGGTACTGGACAACTTGGTTCCTTGTCAGGGCTCCTTTCTGGATTGCAGATGGCTGCCTTCTTGCTGTGTCCTCACATAGTGAAGACAGAAAGAACTCTCTTTCTCCTTTGATAAGGCCACAGTCCCATTGAATTCGGGCACCACTCTTATGACCCCATTAACTTTAATTACTTCCTAAAGACCCTATCTATCTTCAGATATAGTCACATTGATGATTAAGACTTCAACATATGAGCCGGGCACGGTGGCTCATGCCTATAATCCCAGCACTTTGGGAGGCCAAGGCAGGAGGATCACTTGAGCTCAGGGGTTCAAGACCAGCCTGGGCAACATAGTGAGATATGGTCTCTACTAAAATTTAAAACAAAACTAATTAGCTGGGCATGGTGGCAGCCTCTGGGAGGGGTGAGTGCTGAGATGGGAGGCTCGCTTGAGCCCAGGAGGTCAAGGCTGCAGCAAGCTATGATTGTGCCACTACACTCCAGCTTGGATGACAGAGCAAGCCCCTGTCTCAAAAAAAAAATAGAAAAAAGACTTAAACATATTTAGGGGGGACACTGTTCAGTTCATAGTAGATATATTTAAATTAGTAAGTCCTTTCAGAGGTGAGATTGGGACAGGAAGCTATTTTGAGACTTACAATATTCTTTAGTCCAATAAAAGACGCAATTTAAGGTCTCATTAAAAAAAATCTATGAATTGCAATACAATATGGGCATGATGTTTAAATCTGCACTTGCAAATACTGGGATAAAAAGCTAAAAGTTAAAAGTCGTCTCCTCTGGAGAACAGGAATTGGACATGAAAAGGGGGAGGGTGCATCCGTGCTAGTTTTTGCAATAAATCTATGGAACTATTGGACTCTTTAAACTATTTACATGGATTGCTCTGGTAAAACTTGCAGAGAAAATACATACACACAGAGAGTAGGAGATAAGGACATGAAGATAGTGTTTGTAGGGGATTGTTTCAAGAGGCTTGGTGATGAAGGGGAGCTGATGGGGGCAAGGCTGAGAAGATGTGGGTGGGGGTCTGTGAAGATGGCTGCCAGCAGAGCAGAGCTTTCCAAAGTGTGTCCCTGGACCACATCAGGAGTGCCTGGGGAACTTGTTAATTTTTTTTTTTTTTTTTTAATAGAGACAGTGTCTCGCAATGTCGCCCAGGCAGGTCTCTGACTCCTAGCTTTGGGCAATCCTCCCACCTTGTCTTCCAAAAGTGCTGGGATTACAGGCCTGAACCACTGCATCCAGTGGCCATCTCCATTTTATTTATTTATTTTTTATTTTTTTGAGACAGCATCTCATTCTGTCACCCAGGCTGGGGTGCACTGGTGTGATCTCAGCTCACTGCAACCTCTGCCTCCCAGGTTCAAGTGATTCCCCTGCCTCAGCCTCCCAAGTAGCTGAGATTACAGGTGTGCACCACCACACCTGGCTAAGTTTTGTATTTTTAGTAGAGACGGGGTTTCGCTATGTTGTCCAGGCTGGTCTCAAACTCCTGGCGTGATCCGCCCACCTCAGCCTCCCAAAGTGCTGGGATTATACGCATGAGCCACCGTGCCGGGTCTTTAGAAATCTACTTTTTAAAAATACTCTCCTCTGGGTGCTTCCTGTGCACACTGCTTAGGGCTTATTTGGCTGGTGTTGGGAAGGACCCTGTAGAAGGAGAAGGAAAAACTGGAAGGGGAAGAAGCCCATGAAGAAGGCAGGAGGTGTGGGATGGGGGAGCCAGAGCCAAGATGCACGAACACTCCAATGTTAGCAGGGGAGAATGGATGCTGATGAAGGCGGCTTTTTAGACTTGATGGTGGGAAGACGAGGTGGGTCCTGACAGTATTTTGCACACTTGTGCCTCTCTTTTATTATATGCCTTCTTTGTGTGATCTCTGCCTTTCCTAGTGAACTGTGAGCTCCCTGAAGGCAGGGCCTGTTGCTGTTTTGTTCACTGATTTATCTTCAGAACTAGCACAGAGTAGATGCTCAAAAAATGTTTGCCAGATGAACACGTGAATGTCACGTTTGATATGATGTGACATCCAAGTGAAGATATTATTGAAAAAAAATTGAAAATAAAGGACTGGATTTCAGAGCCAAGGTAGACTTAATATGAGTTTGGAAGTTGCCTGTTGCAGTAATAATTTGGGCCTCTTAAAATGAACAAGCTCACAGAGACGCAGGGAGGAGGAAAAGAACAGGATGTGCAAGGCAGGGTCTCCAGGAGAGTGCCTGGGATAAGAGAGCAGAGAGAGGATGCAGGAAACAGACATCAAAGAAGCCACCACAAAGCAGCCTCCTGTTCATTCAGCCTAGGGCTGTTTCTGTTTATTCCAATTCCACAACTGTCTCCTTGCTCCCTTTTTATGGCATTCCATCCTACAGTGGAAGCGAAGGGGCTTTATAAATCTGCCTGACATTGGGTTGTAGTCATTAGGCAGAGAAACTTGAAACATTGAAGGGACCAAGGAGAGAAGTCAGGTGGAGAGAAGTCAGGTGAAATGGCTAGGAAGACAGGAATTTGGATTGTACTTCTCTTCAGGCTAATATCACCCACAGTTCCCGTATCCCTGGGATCCGAAGGATCCCTCCCTGTCTCTATCCGGGGATTATGAAAGCCCTACTGAGGATTTTAATTTAGGCAGTATTTCTGGAAGTGATATTTTCATTTCACTTGGCTTTAGACTTGGAGCCTAGCTCTAATAAATATTTAAAGATGATATTGAAACTAGAATTTTCAAGTTAGATACAAAGCATTTGTTGAGCAGCCGTTAAACCCGGGATTCTAAGGAAATACAACACAGCTATTATTTGTGTTCATGCTTACAGCGGAGCATTGGAAGGGGAAGATGAAGGTGGGTTTGCTGCAAGGTGAAGTTGGGGGTCAAAATCGTGGTTAGTGGGGGTTAAGGTTAGTACTGGCTTTTGCAGAAAGGGGCAAAAAAGAAGTTCATCATCTTTGCTTGCTTTTTGCTTTTGCAAAAGAATGAGAATAAGAAAAGCAAACAGAATGCCTGGGACAGGAACCCTTGTCTCCTTCAGACTTTTTGTGGCCTCAGTGTCTTCTCCGATTGATGGATAATTCACTTACCAGTCTCAAGATTCCAAAGAGAAGCATCACCTGGATGCAGGAGGTGGGAGGTAATTTCCCTCACCTCATCTTGAAATAATCCATGTGGGAAGTTGTTATCTAGAATGCCTGGGTTCTAGAGGGCAGATGGGCTCCAGAGGGGGCCTTGATGCCTGGTGTCTCAATGGGACATGAAGTTGCAGGAAGAATTAAAAGCTTGCCAGGGGCAGGGTTCTGGGAGGAGTAAGATCAGTTGGGGTAGGTTCCAAGACAGTGGTGAGTGGGGACTGGGAATGCTGGATTCCTGGGTTCTGAGGGTTGCTCCCACAATATGTCTGGCTTAATTTCTTTTCTCACTTGACCATAGCTGTGGCATTTATAGTTGCCACCAGGCAGGGGAGGCCGTAACTTCTGGACGCTCCCTCTCCAGGGAGGGGTATCTTAAGGCCATGACAATATGAGGGAAGAAGGAGGGAGCGGGAGAGAACAAGGGAATCACATCTGTGGGAGGAGAGGAGACCCACCCTCCCAGCCAGAGGTCAGCAGAAACCTGTTTTCTCTGGGATGTCTCATTTCTGGGACAGAGGCCTTTGTAGGAGGCAGAGGGGAGAAAAATGAAGGTGACTGTGTCCCAAATCATTGGATCTTCTTACTTTGCCAGCACCTCTCCAGGGACAGCTGGGCACTGTGAGGGGAGGATGCAGAGCCTGTGACTATGAGGCCAGTTAATGTGTCTCCGGGGACAGAGGCTGGCAGAAAAAACCCTGACCTGGGATACTGGCAGTGAGGCCAGAAGAAGACTCTCTGGACGTTCAAGGAGCTGGAAAGGGAGGCCTGGACTCTGGAAGAAGGGGCTGGACACCCTCGTGCAAATCTCAATTACACCCTGTTCCTTAGGTGGTCCCTGTAACATCCCACCCGTCCAGGTGGGGCTGCCTTGGTGTCAGAGAACCTGGCTCCACTGAGGAACAAAGTGAAATTGAGGCTTGGAGAAAATAAAGCAAGCCTTCTGTTCCATAGGAGCCGTGTGGGTTTGAACAGGGCTCTTCTCTGAGCCTCGGTTTTCTCATCTGTAAAGCAAGCTTTATAAGAACTCTTATAAGGTCTGTAACTTCTTATAAGGCTTGTAAAGCAGGCCTCGTAACTCGCAGGGTGATCGGAGGATCACAGGTGCGATGTACGTGAAAGCACAGCACAAACGGGTGTCAGTTTTATGGCC